>NT_113888.1:0-191469 GCF_000001405.40 Homo sapiens | reverse complement strand
GATCATTCTTGGGTGTTTCTCGCAGAGGGGGATTTGGCAGGGTCATAGGACAATAGTGGAGGGAAGGTCAGCAGATAAACAAGTGAACAAAGGTCTCTGGTTTTCCTAGGCAGAGGACCCTGCGGCCTTCCGCAGTGTTTGTGTCCCTGGGTACTTGAGATTAGGGAGTGGTGATGACTCTTAACGAGCATGCTGCCTTCAAGCATCTGTTTAACAAAGCACATCTTGCACCACCCTTAATCCATTTAACCCTGAGTGGACACAGCACATGTTTCAGAGAGCACAGCGTTGGGGGTAAGGTCATAGATCAACAGGATCACAAGGCAGAAGAATTTTTCTTAGTACAGAACAAAATGAAAAGTCTCCCATGTCTACTTCTTTCTACACAGACACAGCGACCATCTGATTTCTCAATCTTTTCCCCACCTTTCCCCCTTTTCTATTCCACAAAACCGCCATTGTCATGATGGCCTGTTCTCAATGAGCTGTTGGGTACACCTCCCAGACGGGGTGGTGGCCGGGCAGAGGGGCTCCTCACTTCCCAGTAGGGGCGGCTGGGCAGAGGCACCCCTCACCTAATGGACGGGGCAGCTGGCCGGGCGGGGGCTGACCCCCCACCTCCCTCCTGGACGGGGCAGCTGGCTGGGCGTGGGCTGACCCCCACCTCCCTCCCGGACGGGGTGGCTGCCGAGCGGAGACGCTCCTCACTTCTCAGATGGGGCGGCCGGGCAGAGACGCTCCTCACCTCCCAGACGGGGTCGTGGCCGGGCAGAGGTGCTCCCCACATCTCGGACGATGGGCGGCCGGGCAGAGGGGCTCCTCACATCCCAGACGGGGCGGCAGGGCAGAGGCGCTCCCCACATCTCAGACTATGGGTGGCAAGGCAGAGACGCTCCTCACTTCCTAGATGGGATGGCACCCGGGAAGAGGCGCTCCTCACTTCCTAGATGGGATGCCGGCCGGGCAGAGATGCTCCTCACTTTCCAGACTGGGCAGCCAGGCAGAGGGGCTCCTCACATCCCAGACGATGGGCGGCCAGGCAGACGCTCCTCACTTCCCAGATGGGGTGGCGGCCGGGCAGAGGCTGCAATCTCGGCACATTGGGCGGCCAAGTCAGGCAGCTGGAAGGTGGAGGTTGTAGCGAGCAGAGATCAAGCCACTGCACTCCAGCCTGGGCACCATTGAGCACTGAGTGAACGAGACTCTGTCTGCAATCCCGGCACCTCGGGAGGCCGAGGCTGGCAGATCACTCGCGGTTAGGAGCTGGAGACCAGCCCGGCCAACACAGCGAAACCCCGTCTCCACCAAAAAAATAAGAAAACCAGTCAGAAGTGGCGGCGCACGCCTGCAATTGCAGGCACTCAGCAGGCTGAGGCAGGAGAATCAGGCAGGGAGGTTGCAGTGAGCCAAGATGGCAGCAGTACAGTCCAGCTTCGGCTGGGCATCAGAGGGAGACCGTGGAAAGAGAGGGAGAGGGAGACCATGGAAAGAGAGAGAGAGGGAGACCGTGGGGAGAGGGAGAGGGAGAGGGAGAGGGCATTACCTTCTTTTCAAAGGCCTATTTCCTTTGCCTCCGTAACTGTTGTGGGTATTCATGGCTAGGCTTCTAAACCTCTTAAAACTCCCCAACTCTGGTGCCAACTTTGACAACTAGCTTTTTAACAAACAGAAAAGTGCACTAAAAATACTGCCTAGTTGTTTAAAGTAGGCTGAGATCTGACTGTATCCCCTAAGTGAGTGTCATAAAGAAAAAATTACCTTTGATGGAGCACAGTGGTTAAATTTAAAAGATTTATTGTTTAACTTCAGGAAGACTTTCAGTAACTTTTTTAAATTGTATACAGTTAATGGAAGACATGCTATGCTTCCTGTAAGAATTTGTTCCAAATCAGTGTGTATAATTAATGGCTTGTCTACATATTTTTTCAATAAAACTGTTCATGCAGAATTTTAAGTAGGCACTTTCAGTACCAGAATGAATGTATCTTTGTGAAGATACCATTTATGTACCATAACATCCAAAGCATAATGAGGAGATTTTGATACACTGCAGATTTAGAACTGAGTTGGAAAACAAAACTTCAAGATACTGTCTTGTCAGCACAAAGCAAATAAATTCATCACTGTAAGTTGAGATTTAAATTCACAAACTTATAAGCAATAAAATCAAAGTAATTTTATTATAAGTTTTTTGACACCAGATTATATGTGGTAAATAATTTACTTTCTAATCAAGCAATTGACACATATAAACCTGAAATAGAGTTTTGCCTTTTAATTAACTCATTGTTAAGCAAAGAATGGTTGAAGCTGCAGTTGAGAATTATCTTTTTCTCTTTTTGCTGTTCTTACAAGGACAGTTTCTAGAATTGTTTTCAAAACAATAGAACAGAAAATTTCACTTACTCATTTAATTTAACTTTTTTTAAAGTACTTTGCCAAAATTAGCAAACTACAAAAGGAAAGTTTGCCTTTTCAATATATATGTAAGTGGCAAGTAAAAGTTGGTCTTAAATCACGTGATCTCATAGAAATAACATGGGATAAAAAGAGTTCTGAAGGTGTTCAGGAAATGCCAGTCCTAAATGGATTGCTTTGGTGTACCGATTACATCGAACTGAAAATATTTGAAAAACAACAAATGCGGGACATGCTTTCTCTGCACTCCCTTTACGTTCCTCAAGAGAGATCCTCCAAAAGGAATTTTCAATACCAGAATGAATGTATCTTTGTAAAGATACCATTTATCTACCATAACATCCAAAGCATGATGAGGAGATTTTTATACACTGCAGATTTAGAACTGAATTGGAAATCAAAACTTCAAGATACTGTCTTGTCAGCACAAAGACATTCATCTCCTTCCTAGGAGTTTCATCAGCCAGGGAAAATTGACTCCTCATATCACAGGAGACAAGACTAAGGGTCCATACCACACTAAGACAGACTGCCACAAACTATCATCTATTCTCCTAAGGGTCTGGTCATCTTTCACAAAAGTCATTTGCTCTCCCCTAAGTTTCCTACATTCTTCCTCCTGCCTTCCCTATAAGCTCCTAAATCTCACTGGGGTTTTTTCTTGGTGGTGTTTTGTTTGTTTTGTTTTGTTTTTGATTCCACTTTTCTTTCCTGTGATTCCCCCATGCGTGTAATAAATGTGTACACATTTTCTTCTTTTGACATGCCTGTTATCCATTTATTCAATAGACTCAGTTATCATACCTTCAGAGGGTAGAGGGAAAGTTCTCCAAGTCCAACAGTTCCAAAAGAAAATAGCTAGTAACTGCAAATGCAAAAGTCATATAAACTTTGAGACAAAGTTAGCTTCTTATACGATATGTTCAGAAAGAAGAGGTGTGTTGTACACCAAGGGACATTTCCCTGGTCTTAGCTCCTAAGTTTCTCTGAGAAGAAGCAGTTACTACTACAGCAGTTAAACACCGGACTCCCAAATTATAAAAGCCTAAGTTATGATTTTAAATCATTAATTGTCACCTGTGAATCATAAAGTCTGAACTCTTTAAATTGCAAACACACATATAAAAGGGATTCTTATACAAGGATCCATGAGTGGAACTGCAAAGTTTTGTCAAAATCTGTATATATGTTTCCTTTTAAGGGTCATAGATTTCAATATATGTTAAAAGATATCTGTAGCTAGTAAAGATTAATAACCATTTTCAGTTTTGTGCTGAAATTGGCAAATCATGGCTTTTCTCCCTCCAACACACCCCCTCCCGCCCCAGCACACCCCTGGTTAATCTTTATTTTCAGGAGAGAAAAAGATGTTTCATATTAATAAAGGTAGATTATACACTTGTTTGTTTTATACTTTTCCACCTCTTAAGCTTAATCGTGTTTTAATAATATATAATTGAATACATTAATATTTAGATGTTAGTAAACTAATAACAAATATTCATGATTTCTCGAGTAGAGGAATACAAATTTTGCACCCATTGTTGTATAGAATGATTTTTAAAATCTCATTCAATCCCTCAGAAGTTTAAGATTTTTTTTAAAGAATTTATATATAAAATTTTTACTTAGAAGCAGATAGCTCACAAAAAGTATGGGGGATTTTTTTGGATTATAAATAAACTATTCCACTCACCAAGATGCTGAGACATCCTACTTTCTGGTATTTTGAAATGAAAACAAAACACAAGAATGTGACGATGAAGCAAGTGAAAATTAAAAGGGTACAGACTTTAGAAGTATCATAAGCTAAAAATAAAGTGAAACAAATCTGTAAAGGAACCAAAAGCCCAGGCAGATATAATACAGTAAATTATGAGAAGTTAAAAAAATGAGGGGGTGACAATAAAGTGAAAATCTCTGATAAAGCCAAAACTATTTGAATGGCAGTCAACAAAACAGAAGGAAAAAATGACACTCATTACAAGGCAGAACTATGGAAATGCATCCCCGGGGGTAAGATAATAGAGTTGTGAATTAGTGGAGGCGAATCACCAATACTGGCCAACTAAAGCCCTCTAACATAATTCAAAGGATGGAGAAATTCTGTAGCTGAAGATAAAATGTCTGAAATATATTATGGTATAGTCAAATGAGTGTCATTTCTAATATACACACTTATTTTTCAAGAGTTGATAATATGAAGTAAAAATTTAGTATGCAAAGTTCAAATTTTCCATTTGTTGAGTAATTCATTTTTATTAAATATTTCCCAACAATTAAACTAAAGTGGTACCAGAACAGAGTAGACATTCTGAGCTTTCACTTTACAAAAGCTACACATCAATCTACATAGTTTTTAAGGGTATAAACAAAGTCAGAGCCTGTGTGATATTTCAATAAACAATTGGAGAAAATTTTTTTTTAAGAATAGATTATATACATATTGACCTCTTTGAGATCCTTATTTTTTTCTTTTTTTTGTGTGTGTGGACATATGTTTTCATTTTTTTTAATTATTATTATTATACATTAAGTTTTAGGGTACACGTGCAGAACGTGCACGTTTGTTACATATGTATACATGTGCCATGCTGTCGTGCTACAACCATTAACTCGTCATTTAACATTAGGTATATCTTCTAATGCTATCCCTCCCCCTTCCCCCCATCCCACAACAGTCCCCAGTGTGTGATGTTACCCTTCCTGTGTCCATGTGTTCTCATTGTTCAATTCCCACCTATGAGTGAGAACATGTGGTGTTTGGTTTTTTGTCCTTGTGATAGTTTGCTGAGAATGATGGTTTCCAGCTTCATCCATGTCCCTACAAAGGACATAAACTCATCATTTTTTATGGCTGCATAGGATTCCATGGTGTATATGTGCCACATTTTCTTAATCCAGTCTATCATTGTTGGACATTTGGGTTGGTTCCAAGTCTTTGCTATTGTGAATAGTGCCACAATAAACATACGTGTCCATGTGTCTTTAGAGCAGCATGATTTATAATCCTTTGGGTATATACCCAGTAATGGGATGGCTGGATCAAATGGTATTTCTAGTTCTAGATCCCTGAGGAATCGCCACACCGACTTCCACAATGTTTGAACTAGTTTACAGTCCCATCAACAGTGTAAAAGTGTTCCTATTTCTCCACATCCTCTCCAGCACCTGTTGTTTCCTGACTTTTTATGATCGTCATTCTAACTGGTGTGAGGTGGTATCTCATTGTGGTTTTGATTTGCATTTCTCTGATGGGCAGTGATGATGAGCATTTTTTCATGTGTTTTTTGGCTGCATAAATGTCTTCTTTTGAGAAGTGTCTGTTCATATCCTTCGCCCACTTTTTGATGGGGTTGCTTTTTTCTTGTAAATTTGTTGGAGTTCATTGTAGATTCTGGATATTTGTCCTTTGTCAGATGAGTAGATTGCAAAACTTTTCTCCCATTCTGTAGGTTGCCTGTTCACTCTGATGGTGCTTTCTTTGGCTGTGCAGAAGCTCTTTAGTTTAATTAGATCCCATTTGTCAATTTTGGCTTTTGTTGCCATTGCTTTTGGTGTTTTAGACATGAAGTCCCTGCCCATGCCTATGTCCTGAATGGTATTGCCTAGTTTTTTTTCCAAGGTTTTTATGGTTTTAGGTCTAACATGTAAGTCTTTAATCCATCTTGAATTAATTTTTGTATAAGGTGTAAGGAAGGGATCCAGTTTCAGCTTTCTACATATGGCTAGCCAGTTTTCCCAGCGCCATTTATTAAATAGGGAATCCTTTCCCTAGGTCTTGTTTCTGTCAAGTTTGTCAAATATCAGGTAGTTGTAGACATGTGGCATTATTTCTGAGGGCTCTGTTCTGTTCCATTGGCCTCTATCTCTCTTTTGGTTCCAGTACCATGCTGTTTTGGTCACTGTAACCTTGTAGTATAGTTTGAAGTCAGGCAGCGTAGTACCTCCAGCTTTGTTCTTTTGCCTTAGGATTGACTTGGCAATGCAGGCTCTTTTTTGGTTCCATATGAACTTTAAAGTAGTTTTTTCCAATTCTGTGAAGAAAGTCATTCGTTGCTTGATGGGGATGGCATTGAATCTATAAATTACCTTGGGCAGTATGGCCATTTTCACAATATTGATTCTTCCTACCCATGAACATGGAAGGTTCTTACATTTGTTTGTATCTTATTTCATTGAGCAGTGGTTTGTAGTTTTCCTTGAAGAGGTCCTTCACATCCCTTTTAAGTTGGATTTCTAGGTGTTTTATTCTCTTTGAAGCAATTGAGATCCTTATTGTGAGAGTCAGTTCAGAATCTGGGGTTTTGTTTTGTTTTGTTTTGTTTTGTTTTGAGATGGAGTCTCTCTCTGTTACCAGGCTGGAGTACAGTGGCACAGTCTCAGCTCATGCAACCTCTGCCTCCCAGGTCCAAGTGATTCTCCTGCCTCAGCCTCCCAAGTAGCTGGGACTACAGGCACGTGCCACCATGCCCAGCTAACTTCTGTATTTTTTTTAGAAGAGATGGGGTTTCGCCATGTTGGCCAGGATGGTCCCGATCTGTTGACCTTGTGATTTGCCTGTCTCAGCCTCCCAAAGTGCTGAGATCACAGACGTGAGCCACTGTGCCCAGCCCAGAATCTGGGTTTTAACCAGATTTGCCATTATAAAATGAAATGAAACCAAAACCACCAATCTATATCTGTAGCAGTGTTATTGTTGGGAAGCATGCACGTTTGTTTGAGCTTATTTATATATACAGAGCTGTTTAGCTTAATATTTAAATTGAAAATTTTTAGTATTTTTAGAATGTTATAGATACTTTGATGAATAAATTTTGTTTTAACAAACTACTATTAAAAAAATTATAGGTTATATATTTCTGAACACATTGGCAGATATAAATGACAGTTATATTCACACAATCAGTTTTTCTTGCACGGAAATGACATTTTGTCAAAAAGTTAAAATCTTTGAAATGTATTTTCTGTCCTCATCTTTCCCCTTTTGAGCATTTTTCTCCCCCTGGGTTGGTTATAAAATGTTCCCTAACTTCAGGCATCTGATTAAATTTTGGGTTTTCTCCCTTCCTACCAATTCATATGGATTGGTAATGATCTGATAGAAGACAATTGCCAAAAATCAATCAAATATGTTTTAAATTAAACTTCTCCAAGATAATATTCATATTAATCCTTCTTTAATTGCTGAATGAGGAATAATTGTTCACTGACCCTTAAAATCCTAAAACTTAGTCAGCTCACTGGAGTGGATGAATGGATATTTGTCCAGATGAGAATGCTTAAGGTCTACTTCAAGGAGTTCATAATAGTAAAAATGTCCTTTTCTTCCATCAGAAGCTTCATCCTGGATCTTTTCATCCTTATTTTTCTACTAGCTCTCCTTCTCCAAATACACTGACTTGGAACCCCAGTTTCAGTGGTGGACTGCGTGGATTTGATTCTTAGCTATGCTATAATGAGAAAGTAGCTCTAACCCTATTCTCATTTTCTTCACCTGTAATATAGAAATCATCATCAGACAATATACAGATAGGGGCCAGTTATTTCACAGATAATAATAGGTGAAAATGGAGAGTATGTGGGGGTAGACGGGAAAGTGAGTTTAAATGGTTTCAGGAGTCTGTGGAAGTTGTCTTTGGATGATTCAATGTTCTCAGGGAAGCACAACCAAAAAGACTTTGAGGATTTCTGGGCAAGTGTTAGGGATTAGAGAGAGGATAAGATACAAAACTAGGTAAATTAGAGAATGAATAGATTGGAACATATGTAGTATGATTGATTGATTGGCAGCACTGAGATTCTCATTTTCAAGTGGGATATTTTTCAATTTGATCCATATAGCTAGTTGCTCAAATATATGTGGGGATTTGGTGGAAATTTGGATCTAACCAGGGTTATTTTCCTGGTTAGCTTCAGCAAAGTGAAAGAGAAACCAGGAAGTTGAAGTTTCCTGGGAATGGTTGGCCATGGAATTTAGGCAGGAGAACAGGAAATAGAGTACATCAAGTAGGTAAGGGTCATTGTGATTATGATAAAATAATAGTTTGGAGGTCTCAGAGAGATTGAAAAATTTTATGTCAGCGTATGAAAGGGAATGATTAAAGGAGGAGCTCAGAGAATGGGATGAATGAAATTGTGACTACAGAGAAGTTCCTATTATAAGTAACGACGATGCTTCACTCAGTCCGTCTGGAAGTGTGGTCGCTGTGCTAACAGCATCAGCATCACCTGGGAACTTACTAGAAGTGCATATTCTCAGGTTACAGCCCCAGATCTACCAAATCTGAAATTCCAATAGCAGGTCTCAGCAATCTTTTATTGTAACACAACTGTAGGCAATTTTGAGGCACACTGTAGTTAGCACAACTGGTCTAGGGTATGTCCTATTTGGTCTTCCTCCCCAGTTCACAGTACAGAGCTCCTAAAACTTGAAATTTCCTGATAGAGATGAGAGGACCATCCTTTACTAGTCATAAGTCTCTCTTAGCCATACCTGAGTTTATGCTATTGACATGACATGAGTGGTGGCTGGAGACCCGTATAGCTTCAGGGTGTGTGCTGGACATCAGAAACATGAAGGCATAACTAGATGGTTGAAACTGTCAGCCCTCTCCTCCATCACCTCTGAGGTGCTGGGAGGGTGATAGAGTGATATACTTATAGGTCATATGGCAGCTTTGTGCCCCTTTTCACCATACCTGGCCCTATGTGTCTCTTCTATTTGAGAGTTCCTGATTTGTATCAGACAGTAACTGTAAGCAAAGTGCTTTCTTGGGTTCTGTGCGCCATCTTAGCAAATTATAGAACCTGAGGAAGGAATCCATGGAGGTCCTAATTTATAGCCAGTTGGTCAGGAGTATGGGAGGCCCACAACTCCTCTCTAATAGTGTGGGGGCAGTCTTGTGGGCCTGAACCCTGAACTTTTGGGATCTATGCTATCTCCAGATAGTCTCAGGATTGAATTGAATTGTAGGACACCATTTGGTGTCCTGAGAGTTGAAGAATTGATTGGGGTGAGACTGAATCCACAAATTTGATCTCAGAAGTTTGAGTAGAAATAATTCTGTTGGAAAACATTATTGTTAGAACAAAGGTGTTCATAGAACTGAGAGATCAAAATGGCAAGGAGTCATCTATGATTACACATTTTTGACTTAAACTAGAATTAAGACAAGAGTATGTCAAAGAGAGTTACATTGAGCCAGGGATAAAAATAGTCAATCAATTGATTGATTAGAATGTAGAAAATGCTATTTTAAAAAAATTAATCTTTACTTAATTAATGGAGATACTTAATTATCTCCATTTTGACTTTAAATTTATAATTAAAAAATTGCTATTTTATCTATTTTCCATAAAAGGAAATTGAAAAGCAATAGCAAAATGCTTCGACAGAAAATCTACCCTTCTTATTCCCAAGAGGAAGAATGGCCAACTACCTTAAGCACAAAGTTAGAAAAACTTTCATAATTTTTTAAGTTGCCATATTTTATAGCTTTGAACAAGTCGAATTGTTAACTAGACTGCCCAGGGAATGGAGCCATCTAATATAATTTCCTTACTATTTAGATAAGATATTTGTTGTTGAAAGTCTTAATCATTTTTAATGATCCTGTTTTCAGAGCCTGATATTAATGATTCGGGAAACTCATTAAATGTAGTTAAGCATCTGATTTGAAAATCATGAGGGGGATTTTTGGTCAGATATGCATAGGAAATCTGTCACTAGACATATGTCCCTGCCACCCATGTCACAACCTTTATGTCTACTCTTGAATTGAGGTTTTGCTACGTTTTATTTTTGAGGTTTAAGAATTATTCATTTAGGTATCTGGGTGCAGCGCACCAGCATGGCACATGTATACATATGTAACTAATCTGCACAATGTGCACATGTACCCTAAAACTTAAAGTATAATAATAAAAATAAAATAAAATAAAATAAAAAAGAATTATTCATTTAACTGACGGAAAATTGTGTTTCTCTTGTTAGAATAGAGCCCAATTTATCTTTTCTATTTTTCATGGAGACATGAAAGGATGTGAATTTGGAATCAGAGAAACCTGAGTTCCACCATGCTTTCTTCCTCTTGCAATCCATGAAATCCACAGTGGGTTAGTGGATATTACAAAACCTCTGGTCCCACCTCATTAAGATGGAAAAAAATAATACTAATTGAAAGAATGAATGTGATAATGAGAAGAAATGGCATCAATAAAGTTTCTGGAACACAGTAAGTTCTAACAAATGCTAGTTCTTTTCTTTCATTATTCAAAATCCAAGTAGAAGCCAGTTGGTAATTCCAAGATAATAGTATGAAGACAAAAAAAAAGTTTGTTAACTAACCTTTAACCATTGAGACCTTATCTTATAGGAAGCAAAATTAACAAATATTTTCTCCCTTCTACAAATGTACACCCTCTGAGAAAGAGAGATAGTGTTCCAATCAAGACGATGACAGTATTCTGTGCACACATAGGAAGGGAAGAAGAATAAGAGAGAACCTTTAAAAAGACAATTTTAGATAGGCATCCTATTTTTACCGGCAATAACATTTTTTAGAACTTACGGCATACAATACAGACCTTAAATGGACTCAGTGCTGAGAAATTTTTAAAAGGCTGCTTTATTTTCTTCTATGGTAAATCTAGGAACCAATAAAATAGCTTTGATAATTCACTCATTACATTCTTTCCTAACTAAACTATTTACATTATAAACTTTGTTGATATGCTGTGCTTTTGCATTAATAATTCTCATGTGTCTCGTTTGTGAATACATGAAAACTAGTTGTAAAATAAGGAAAATGTAATTTTGAAACATCTTCAAACACAGTTGCATAATTTAACAAATGTTTATAAATTTTCGTCCTTACTCTAAAACCATAGACATCCTAAAAGTGATTGAAGGTAAAATGATTTTTTAAAGAACTGGATTTCTCACCATGAGTTATTTTATCTCCATACAAACTGTGGTAGTGTTATACAATGGTTAAGAAGAAATTACTTAAAAGTGAGAATAAAGATACAGCTTATTAACACTTCGTTTTGTGGATGAGACCTGAAAAATTAAACTTTTCTTCTAGGGACAAGTTGTAGTTGTGTATATAGAGTGTGAATAGATACTGTCCATATTTTACTGTCATTATTTAAACAGAAACCTGTAATTTGCACTTCAAAAACCTACTACAAATTAGCTGTGTCATTTGAAAGTGTCAAAATTATCTCTTTAATGATCAGATAGGCTTTTTGCTCATTGTAATGAGATGTTCCTATAAACCAAATTTGAAAGACAAAGACAGAGTTTGGAGTCTTTAATTCTTGGTAAAATCAGTAGCTCTATTTAGGGCTATATTTGCAAAATACTATTTCTACTCAAGCATATTTTTATTTACAAGGCACTTCACAAATGTTGACCACAAAGATGCTTCTACCTAGCAGAAATAATTATAGTTACTTATAGTTGTCTAGGAATATCTTAAACATGGGGTATTAAAATTACTTTCAAGAACAAGAAGAAATGTTATACCAGGCATTTTTGCAACTAGTGCTCTATTTCAGTGCAATATTTGTGGCAATTAAAAAACATAAGTGGCTTGTATATACAGCTAAGATATCAAAGGAAAAATATGCAAAGGCATGATTATTTTATAAATGTGCCACATATGTGACTTGAGGTACAAAACCTCTAAGTTTAAAATTGTATTTTTAAAAAAGAAATCAAAACAGACAAGTGGGCAATGAGTTATGGATACTATTATAGGGTACCCTGATAAACTAGTAAGAAGAAGACTTTTGGTACTGAAAATTCCAATTAACCACATGCCTCCATTAAGGCCATGATCACTGCCAATTTTTACTCGCAAAGGCTGGAGCTAGAGTTATGTGGAATTCCATATGTATCTAAACCATAGATTTATCAATTATCACTTAAACACAACTTGGAGGACACTATCCAGAATTTGTAGGGCTTGGCCATATTCTAGAGAAACATACACTGGAATAGGCAGTTGGATTTTAAATTCAGTCTTAAATCTCTTGAAAATAATGCATTTATTTTCTCAGAGATGAGATATTGTCTAACTCTCTTGACTTATTTTAGATTTGATATTATACAGTTCGAACACCATAGAGATTTACTAATCTAAATGAACACATACCAAATTAGTCTTTGCTCCAGTCTCAAAATCTGACATTAATTCTGGCTGCTGAAGAAATTTTCCAGGGTTAGGAGTATGCTTCAACGCTGGTGACTGGTACTACTTTCTGGTAAACTATAGGTGACTTGTGCCCTTTCACTGCCTAAACTCACTTTGTAGAACACCATTAAATGAAAATCATCACCAGTAATTTGGGAGGCTAAGGCGGGCAGATCATTTGAGGTCAGGAGTTTGAGACCAGCCTGGCCAACATGATGAAAACCCGTCTCTACTGAAAATACAAAAATTTATCCAGGCATGACGGGGTGCACCTGGAATCCCAGCTACTTGGGAGGCTGAGGCAGGAAAATCTCCTGAACCTAGGATGTGAAGGTTGCAGTGAACAGAGATGTTGCCATTGCACTCCAGCCTGGGCAACAGAGCGAGACTTCATCTCCAAAAAAAGGAAAAAAAGAGAGAGAGAGAGAGAGAAAGAAAATTATCAGTGTTCAGTGACTCTTTTTTTTCATGCTGATAAACTATTACACAGAAAAAGAAATGTATCCATTATGGACAATTAAAAGGGCTATACAATCTCTCTCATTGTATGATTCTGTTTTTTCTTTTTCTTTTTTCCTTTTTTTTAAGACAGGATCTCACTCTGTCACCCAGGCTGGAATGCAGTGGCTCTATCTTGGCTCACTGCAACCTCAGCCTCCCAAGTTCAAGCTATTCTCCTGCCTTAGCCTCCTGAGTAGCTAGGACTAAAGGCATTCACCACCACGCCCAGCTAATTTGTGTATTTTTTTAATACATGTGGGGTTTTGCCATGTTGTCCAGGCTGGTCTTGAACTCCTGACCTCAAATGATCCTCCCCCCTTGGCATCCCTAAGTGTTGGCATTAGAGGCATAAGCCACCAGGCTTGGCCTGATTCTGTTTTTTAACACAATTCCTATTACTTCTGTTTTAATTTTACAAAGCCATAGGTTTTTAATCTGGGAAACCTTTGAGAAAGCACCCAGATAAATTTATAAATAGAAAAATAAATTCAGATACATAGAATTAAGTTTATGATCTAACTAGTCGGTGGCAACTAAAAAATTTTCAAGTTCCATAAACTGAAGTGAAAGGATCACTTTCCTGAAAATATTACAAAGGCTTGATAATTACCTGGATTGTACTAAAACCTACACAATCTAGTATATTCTATAGCAGCCATTCATAAAGACAGCTTCACTTACCATGTAGAATTTATATGTACACTAAATTTAAGGAATGCGTTAGTTGGTATTGGAGTAGGATAATAACTCACAGCAGAACTGATTTGCATGAATGGCTATTAAACTATCATCGATGTAGAAATTAAACGTTAAGCTATTCAGCCCCAGATGTGTGAGAGACAGAGAAAATCTTCAAAAGAGTTCAGCTATCAAATCCCTTCCTCAATAGCTCTTTGAGTCTCAAGACAGTTTCAACCACACACAGCCTCAGAGTCTGGTCCAAACAACATTTGACTGCACCTCTAAAGTAAGCAAACATTTGAAAAGAAACAATCAAAGATCTATGTCTGTAGTTATGGTCAAGGAGGTCCACCTACTGGTGGGTGAGCATGGCAAGGGTAGGGACTAAGCCAAATGATGGGTTTATCAAAACAGAAACAAGAGAAGCCAATGGAAGCAGAGTCCAGTTTATAACAGGAGCCCAGGCACTTGATGTGGGAACCCTATTTGTCTCATTTAGCAGCTAGAGTTTTAACGTCCTATGAGGCAGAGCTAATGTCCTTCATTATTATTTTTTTGTAATTGACTGCATAGTTTAGAACTATGCCTTGAATTTAATATCTATCTGTTGAATAAATGAATTAATAATGATGAAAATCTGTCCACAGGTTATATGCAGTACTGAAGAGCAACTTCAGCTATTGAGGTATCTATCAGAAGTCTTACTCTCTAAAAAGCCTCTGGTTAATTACTGATATAGGTTGCTGACAATTTCATTCTCACAATGTAGGGGAAGCAGGAATGTTATCTGGCCTCTTGGCTCCTCTTCCTTTGCCTTCCACAGATCTCTCTGCTGGTTCACAGAGGAACACTTTCGTGGCTCTCAGTTCATTTTGCAATTCTGGTAGAATTTCATTCCATCCTCAATGGTAACTAGCTTGTCCTTCACCCAACGCTTATTTATGGAGGGACAGATAGCAAGAAGAAATCGCACTCTGGATTACAAAGTGGGAAGACGCACCCCCTTGGCCAGAATGCCTGCCTCCTATGTTCATGATGGATATTTCTAATTGATCTTGGCACTCTTTTCCACTGAGCCCATGCCCCAAATTGGCCCTGAGTTAGGGAGAGGGCTCTAGAGTGGGAAAGGTGTACCCAAAACTTCCCTAATCTGACTATCAAGCCTAAAAAATTAAACTTTCAATTCAACATCCCTTGTTTCTCCAACTTGGAGTGCCTGATGGTGTGGGAAGCCCCTACTCATACAAATTCATAGTTGAAGATTGTTGGTAATTTTGCCCAACCCCTTCTTTTTTTTGTTATACTTTAAGTTCTAGGGTACATGTGCACAACATGCAGGTTTGTTTCAGATGTATATATGTGACATGTTGGTGTGCTGCACCCATTAACTCGTCATTTACATTAGGTATATATCCTAATGCTTTCCCTCCCCTAGCCCCTCACCCCACAACAGGCCCCAGTGTGTGCTGTTCCTCTTCCTGTGTCCATGTGTTCTCATTGTTTAATTCCCACCTATGAGTGAGAACATGCGGTGTTTTTTTGTCCTTGTGATAGTTTGCTGAGAATGATGGTTTCCAGCTTCATCCATGTCCCTACAAAGGACATGAACTCATCATTTTTATGGCTGCATAGTATTCCATGGTGTTTATGTGCCACATTTTCTTAATCCAGTCTATCATTGTTGGATATTTGTGTTGGTTCCAAGTCTTTGCTATTGTCAGTAGTGCCTCAATAAACTCCTTCTTTCTTTGCCTAGTTACACCTCAATGCAACCTCCTGGCAGGCCAGCCTTAAGCCCAGCAGTCCCACCATGCATCTAAGCTGCATTCTCATCAGACCCAACTTCAATTATAAACAACTGAGATGATGCCAGAGGCCAGAATCCCTGAGAACACAATTTGCTGTCATCACCATGGCTGAAACAAGGCGCTTGGCATCTAGAAAAGCTGATCTGTAGGAAATTTCCAATAGAGTTCAATTTTTCTAAGTTTAAAGTGTACAATATCATCAAGGTCAGACACTCGAGATAAAACTAGGCTTGCGTTTAAATATAACAAAAATATTTGAAGAATAGTAAGAGTGGTGACTACTTTTACACAGGAATGTTTTAAATAAATTGTTTTTTTCTGGTGCCTTTTAAATTTTGTGATTTGTCAATGAGATGCTGATATATTTTTAATGAAGCATGCCTTGTAAAATAATAAGTGAATGAAAAATACACAGTAATATTCACATCAACAAAGCTAGAAGAAGACTGCATGTCTCAAGAGTCTCCATCATCTACCCAGTGGCCACTTGACCAAATTAAGATCCAAATACCAAAATGAAAAGTAATTAAAATTTGTGTTGTATGCCTTATAAGACCAAACCTATAAAATGAGGGGAAACTTCACAATTACTTGTAATTTGCTGTGTGGAATTGTAACAGATGGATTATAAAGATGATTCCATGATAAACATCTAAATGTGGTTACTACCTTCTGTGCTTTCTTGGTTCATATTTTTATTGTTTTTTCTTTATAAACAGATAATTCATTCTTATCTATGGTAATGCAAACTTTTCAGATGTATTGAATATGTCATAGTTTTTTTCTATTGTAGGCATCTCTAAAAAAGATATAGAAAACAAACAGAGCAAAGTCTGGTGTTGGAAAGGAGAGAGAAATAAAGCTTGTAAAGGAATGAAAATTAGAGCTTTCTGGAGATAAAAATTCTTAGAAGATACAAAAGCTAGTTACTGAATTAGATGAAGGTTCTTTTTCAGTTTTTCCCGTTGTTCACCTCTTAGAAGGCACATATTCACAACAGAAAAGAAAGAAAGGGTTAAAAAGAAAATACCTCAGTGTAGTGAGACTGTAATTTCATGAGGGCATTACTGAAGACTCACTTTTTCCAGCATCACTCAGCATGGTATTATGCATGTGTGTAATGTAAAGGAAAGTGAATACGCATTCTTGGATGTGTGATCAAATCTCAATTCCAGAATATAATCAGAAGCTGATTCATTATCCTCTTGAGATTTCACAATCTTTCCATCAGGAATTAAAATTCAGAAGAGGGTAAATGTATCTAATCTTTTGAAAGTTAAAAATTAGAGGGTGGAGCCAAGATGGCCGAATAGGAACAGCCCCAGTCTACAGCTCCCAGCGTGAGTGATGCAGAAGACGGGTGATTTCTGCATTTCCAACTGAGATACCAGGTTCATCTCACTGGGGAGTGCTGGACAGTGGGTGCAGCGCACCATGCATGAGCCATAGCAGGGCAAGGCATCACCTCACCTGGGAAGCACAATGGGTCAGGGAATTCCCTTTCCTAGTCAAAGAAAGGGGTGACAGATGGCACCTGGAAAATCAGGTCACTCCCACCCTAATATTGCGCTTTTCCAACAGGCTTATCAAATGGCACACCAGGAGATTATATCCAGCACCTGGCTTGGAGGGTCCTACACCCCCGGAGCCTTGCTGTTTGCTAGCACAGCAGTCTGAGATCAAACTGCAAGGTAACAGTTGGGCTGGGGGAGGGGCGCCCGCCATTGCTCGGGCTTGAGTAAGTAAACAAAGCAGCCAGGAAGTTCGAACTGGGTGGAGCCCACCACAGCTCAAGGAGGCCAGCCTGCCTCTGTAGGCTCCACCTCGGGGGGCAGGGCACAGACCAACAAAAGACAGCAATAACCTCTGCAGACTTAAATGTCCCTGTCTGACAGCTTTGAAGAGAATAGTGGTTCTCCCAGCATGCAGCTTGAGATCTGAGAACGGGCAGACAACCCCCACCTAGTGGGTCCCTGAACCCCGAGTAGCCTAACTGGGAGGCACCCCCCAGTAGGCACAGACTGACACCTCACATGGCCGGGTACCCCTCTGAGACAAAACCTCCAGAGGAACGATCAGGCAGCAGCATTTGCAGTTCACCAATATCCACTGTTCTGCAGCCACCACTGCTGATACCCCCCAGGCAAATAGTGTCTGGAGGAGACCTCCAGTAAACTCCAACAGACCTGCAGCTGAGGGTCCTGACTGTTAGAAGGAAAACTAACAAACAGAAAGGACATCCACACCAAAACCCCATCTGTATGTCACCATCTTCAAGGACCAAAGGTAGATAAAACCACAAAGATGGGGAAAAAAAGAGCAGAAAAACTGGAAACTCTAAAAATCAGAGTGCCTATCCTCCTCCAAAGGAATGCAACTCCTCACCAGCAATGGAACAAAGCTGGACGGAGAATGACTTTGACGAGTTGAGAGAGGAAGACTTCAGAAGATCAAAGTACTCCGAGCTAAAGGAGGAAGTTCGAACCAATGGCAAAGAAGTTAAAAATTTTGAAAAAAAAAATTAGACGAATGGATAACTAGAATAACCAATGTGGAGAAGTCCTTAAAGGACCTGATGGAGCTGAAAACCATGGCACGAGAACTACACGACAAATGCATAAGCCTCAGTAACCGATGTGATCAACGGGAAGAAAGGGTATCAGCGATGGAAGATGAAATGAATGAAATGAAGCATGAAGAGAAGTTTAGAGAAAAAAGAATAAAAAGAAATGAACAAAGCCTCCAAGAAATATGGGACTATGTCAATAGAACAAATCTACGTCTATTTGGTTTACCTGAATGTGACGGGGAGAATGGAACCAAGTTGGAAAACACTCTGCAGGATATTATCCAGGAGAACTTCCCCAATCTAGCAAGGCAGGCCAACATTCACATTCAGGAAATACAGAGAATGCCACAAAGATACTCCTAGAGAAGAGCAATTCCAAGACACATAATTGTCAGATTCACCAAAGTTGAAATGAAAGAAAAAATTTTAAAGGCAGCCAGAGAGAAAGGTCGGGTTACCCACAAAAGGAAGCCCATCAGACTAACTGCTGATCTCTCTGCAGAAACTCTACAAGCCAGAAGAGAGTAGGGGCCAATATTCAACATTCTTAAAGGAAAGAATTTTCAACCCAGAATTTCATATCCAGCCAAACTAACCTTCATAAGTGAGGGAGAAATAATATGCTCCACAGACAAGCAAATGCTGAGAGATTTTGTCACCACCAGGCCTGCCCTAAAAGATCTCCTGAAGGAAGCACTAAACATGGAAAGGAACAACTGGTACCAGCCACTGTAAAACCATGCCAAATTGTAAAGACCATCAAGGCTAGGAAGAAACTGCATCAACTAACGAGGAAAATAACCAGCTAACGTCATAATGACAGGATCAAGTTCACACATAACAATACTAACCTTAAATGTAAATGGGTTAAATGCTCCAATTAAAAGGTGCAGACTGGCAAATTGGATAAAGAGTCAAGACCCATCAGTGTGCTGTATCCAGGAAACCCATCTCACGTGCAGAGACACACATAGGCTCAAAATAAAGGGATGGAGGAAGATCTACCAAGCAAATGGAAAACAAAAAAAGACAGGGGTTGCAATCCTAGTCTCGGATAAAACAGACTTTAAACCAACAAAGATCAAAAGAGACAAAGAAGGCCATTACATAATGGTAAAGGGATCAATTCAACAAGAACTAACTATCCTAAATATATATGCACACAATACAGAAGCACCCAGATTCATAAAGCAAGTCCTTAGTGACCTACAAAGTGATTTAGACTCCCACACAATAATAATGGGAGACTTTAACACCCCACTGTCAACATTAGACAGATCAACGAGACAGAAAGTTAACAAGGATATACAGGAATTGAACTCAGCTCTGCACTAAGCAGACCTAATAGACATCTACAGAACTCTGTACCCCAAATCAACAGAATATGTATTCTTTTCAGCACCACACCACACCTATTCCAAAATTGAGCACATAGTTGGAAGTAAAGCACTCCTTAGCAAATGTAAAAGAACAGAAAGTATAACAAACTGTCTCTCGGAACACAGTGCAATCAAACTACAACTCAGGATTTAAAAACTCACTCAAGACCACTCAACTACATGGAAACTGAACAACCTGCTCCTGAATGACTACTGGGTACATAAGGAAATGAAGGCAGAAATAAAGATGTTATTTGAAACCAACAAGAACAAAGACACAACATACCAGTATCTCTGGGACACATTCAAAGCAGTGTGTGGAGGGAAATTTATAGCACTAAATGCCCACAAGAGAAAGCATGAAAGAACTAAAATTGACATCCTAACATCACAATTAAAAGAACTAGAGAAGCAAGAACAAACACGTTCAAAAGATAACAGAAGGCAAGAAGTAACTTAGATCAGAGCAGAACTGAAGGAAATAGAGACACAAAAAACCCTTCAAAAAATCAATGAATCCAGGAGCTGGTTTTTTGAAAAGATCAACAAAATTGATAGACCACTAGCAAGACTAATAAAGAAGAAAAGAGAGAAGAATCAAATAGATGCAATAAAAATTGACAAAGGGGATATCACCACCAATCCCACAGAAATACACACTACCATCAGAGAATATTATAAACACCTCTACACAAATAAACTAGAAAATCTAGAAGAAATGGATAAATTCCTCGACACATACATCCTCCCAAGACTAAACCAGGAAGTTGAATCTCTGAATAGACCAATAACAGGCTCTGAAATTGAGGCAATAATTAATAGCTTACCAACCAAAAAAAGTCCAGGACCAGATGAATTCACAGCCAAATTCTACCAGTGGCACAAGGAGGAGCTGGTACCATTCCTTCTGAAACCATTCCAATCAATAGAAAAAGAGGGAATCCTCCCTAACTCATTTTATGAGGCCAGTATCATCCTGATACCAAAGCCTGGCAGAGACAAAAAAAAAAAGAGAATTTTAGACCAATATCCTTGATGAACAGTGATGCAAAAATCCTCAATAAAATACTGGCAAACAGAATCCTACAACACATCAAAAAGCTTATCCACCATGATCAAGCGGGTTTCATCCCTGGGATGAAAGGCTGGTTCAACATATGAAAATCAGTAAACGTAATCCAGCATATAAACAGGACCAAAGACAAAAACCACATGATTATCTCAATAGATGCAGAAAAGTCCTTTGACAAAATTCAGCAAATCTTCATGCTAAAAACTGTCAATAAATTAGGGATTGATAGGACGTATCTCAAAATAATAAGAGCTATCTATGACAAACCCACAGCCAATATCATACTGAATGGCAAAAACTGGAAGCATTCCCTTTGAAAACTGGCACAAAACAGGGATGCCCTCTCTCACCACTCCTATTCAACATAGTGTTGGAAGTTCTGGCCAGGGCAATCAGGAAGGAGAAGGAAATAAAGGGCATTCAATTAGGAAAAGAGGAAGTCAAATTGTCCCTGTTTTCAGATGACATGATTGTGAATGTGGAAAACCCCATCGTCTCAGCCCAAAATCTCGTTAAGCTGATAAGCAACTTCAGCAAAGTCTCAGGATACAAAATCAATGTGCAAAAATCACAAGCATTCTTATACCCCAATAACAGACAAACAGAGAGCCAAATCATGAGTGAACTCCCATTAACAATTGCTTCAAAGAGAATAAAATACCTAGGAATACCACTTACAAGGGATGTGAAGGACCTCTTCAAGGAGAACTGCAAATCACTGCTCAATGAAATAAAAAAGGATACAAACAAATGGAAGAACATTCCATGCTCATGGGTAGGAAGAATCAATATCGTGAAAATGGCCATACTGCCCAAGGTAATTTAAAGATTCAATGCCATCTCCATCAAACTACCAAAGACTTTCTTCACAGAATTGGAAAAAAATTACTTTAAAGTTCATATGGAACCAAAAAAGAGCCTGCATTGCCAAGTCAATCCTAAGGCAAAAGAACAAAGCTGGAGGCATCATGCTACCTGACTTCAAACTATACTACAAGGCTACAGTAACCAAAACAGCATGGTATTAGTACCAAAACAGAGATATAGACCAATGGAACAGGACAGAGCCCTCAGAAATAATGCCGCATATCTACAACTATCTGATCTTTGACAAACCTGACAAAAACAAGAAATAGGGAAAGGATTCCCTATTTAATAAATGGTACTGGGAAAACTGGCTAGCCATATGTAGAAAGTTGAAACTGGATCCCTTCCTTACACCTTATACAAAAATTAATTCAAGATGGATTAAAGACTTACATGTTAGACCTAAAACCATAAAAACCCTAGAAGAAAACCTAGGCAATACCATTCAGGACATAGGCATGGGCAAGGACTCCATGTCTAAAACACCAAAAGCAATGGCAACAAAAGACAAAATTGACAAATGGGATCTAATTAAACTAAGGAGCTTCTGCACAGCAAAAGAAACTACCATCAGAGTGAATAGACATCCTACAGTATGGGAGAAAAGTTTTGCAACCTACTCATCTGACAAATGGCTAATATCCAGAATCTACAATGAACTCAAACAAATTCACAAGAAGAAAACAAACAACCCCATCAAAATGTGGGCAAAGGAAATGAACAGACACTTCTCAAAAGAAGACATTTATGCAGCCAAAAGACACATGAAAAAATGCTCATCATCACTGACCATCAGAGAAATGCAAATCAAAACCACAATGAGATACCATCTCACACCAGTTAGAATGGCGATCATAAAAAAGTCAGGAAACAACAGGTGCTGGAGAGGATGTGGAGAAATAGGAACACTTTTATACTGTTGATGGGACTGTAAACTAGTTCAACCATTGTGGAAGTCAGTGTGGTGATTCCTCAGGGATCTAGAACTAGAAATACCATTTGACCCAGCCATCCCATTACTGGGTATATACCCAAAGGATTATAAATCATGCTGCTCTAAAGACACATGCACACGTATGTTTATTGTGGCAGTATTCACAATAGCAAAGACTTGGAACCAACCCAAATGTCCAACAATGATAGACTGGATTAAGAAAATGTGGCACATATACACCATGGAATACCATGCAGCCATAAAAAATGATGAGTTCATGTCCTTTGTAGGGACATGGATGAAGCTGGAAACCATCATTCTCAGCAAACTATCACAAGGACAAAAAATCAAACACCACATGTTCTCACTCATAGGTGGGAATTGAACAATGAGGAAACATGGATACAGGAAGGGGAACATCACACACCGGGGACTGTTGTGGGGTGGGTGGAGGGGGTAGGGATAGCATTAGGAGATATACCTAATGTTAAATGAGGAGTTAATGGGTGCAGCACACCAACATGGCACATGTGTACATATGTAGCAAACCTGCACGTTGTGCACATGTACCCTAAAACTTAAAGTATAATAAAAAAAATTAACAGGAGCCTTTTATAAAGATAAATTTGATTTGCATCATGATCAGCACTAAAGAGCATCACAGATTTAAACCATATTTACACAGTTAAAACAATGTAACCAAATATGCAATATATTATGTAACATTGTACAAGATGCTTTTCAAACGTGCTAACTGACCTTTAAAACAATTTTACATAAAATAATATTTTTAGTAAGAGAAAAGACAGACATGTGGTTAGGGCAAAATATTTCTGTTCAAATTACAAAATCCTGAATGACAAATCAAAGGATAGAAAAAAATTATATTGTACCTGGAATTTGAAGTCTTCAAATTTATTTAGATATATGTATCTATATGTATTAATGGAGACATATTAGTTTAGAACAGTTATATTTTGAAGATGTCATTCTTTAAAAACTTATTAATATCTACAGGATTGCTGCAGATATTTTAATTTTAAACAAATATTTTTCACTAATGTGACCAGTATTTATGTCCTATTTTATTAAACAGACATTTCAAGATTCTTTTAGAGTTAATTTTTAAAAATTAAGTATCATAAATATTTCTGAAGTACTACCTTAAAAAAAAAACCCTTTCCTGGCTTTTCATATAGTAAAACATTTTCATAATGACTAAAAATGTAAAAATAAATTAACAGCCATAATCAAATTAGAATTCTACTTTTTATATCAGATGAAATACTATATAAAATGTCCAGAAAATCTAGTGTTAATGAGGCTGTGCAGCCTGGACATTTGATGTCTCCTCTGTGGGAATGTGAACTAACCCAACCATTCTGAATAATTATTGGCTCTGTGTGTTAACAGTCTAGAGTCCTGAAACAAGGATCTTAATTCTAAAATAAAATCCTATTCTAAGAATATACCAAGGGTTGATAATCAAGGAAGTTTCAAAGTTATAGAGAAGAACCTTAATCCTAGCATTATATATGTAATCACCCATATAAACCAGATAGTGTTGAATGAAACTGCAGAAAAACAAAGAGCCTACAGAATATGTTTCTCTTTGTGTACAACTGTAAATGTACACATCTATCCATGTAAAATTTTACATCTCAGGAGGATAGGTACCAACATGTTAACATGCTATATCTATAAGATAAGAAATTTTACTTCCCTACAATTTCATACACACACACACACACACACACACACACTCTCAAACACACATACACACACACCGAGGTTATATGCACACACAAATATATATATAAACATACATGTTTATATAGGTACACACACACATACATATACACAGATGGTCAACAACTGATAATGCTTCAATTTATGATTTTTTTTACTTTATGATGAAGCAAAAGTGATAGCTTTGAATAGAATATAACCATTCTGCTTTTCACTTTCAGTACAATATTCAACAAATTACATAAAATATCCAATACTTTATTATAAAGCAGGTTTTGTATTCAACGATTTTGCCCAATTGTCAGCTGATGTAAGTGTTCTGAGCACATTAAAGGTATGCCAGGCTAAGCTGTGATATTCAGTAAGTTAGATATTAAATACATTTTTAACTTACTGTATTTTCAATTTATAATCAGCTTATCAAGACTTAACCCCATTGTACATTGAAAAGCATTTGTATTGCATTAAACATGTTATATAATATTTTTAATTGAAATTACTGGCAACTTTTGAAAAAATATAATGAAATAATGTGCTTTGCTATTGGTTAAAATGTTTTTGGGCAGGGTCAGTGGCTTACACCTGTAATCCCAGCACTTTGGTAGGCTGAGGTGGGCAGATCACTTGAGGTCAGGAGTTTGAGACCAGCCTGGCAAACAGGGTGAAACCCCATCTCTACTAAAAATACAAAAATTATCTGAGTGTGGTGGCATGTGCCTGTAATCCCAGCTACTAGGGAGGCTGAGGTGTGAGAATTGCTTGAACTAGGCAAGCAGAGGTTGCAGTGAGCCAAGATCATGCCATTGCACTCCAGCCTGGGCAACAGAGTAAGGTTCTGTCAAAAATAAAAAAGAAAGAAAGAAAAGAAAAAAATGTTTTTAGCTTCAAGTAACAGAATAGTCAACTAATTGAAGAAAAAAACAAGGAGCAACTTTGACCAAATCGCACAACAAATAGATGGTATCAATGTTTAGTTAATTCAACATGATCCACTTCTTTGTGATTATCTTATCTTTCTACCTATGTTTTCAAGATGGCTATGGCATTCCCAGCCTTACAACTTCATGTGACAAAATTCAATGGCAGGAAATAATAAGTGACGGCATTTTGGAACTTTAAGGAAAAACTTTAAGGATTGGAAAACAGGGATGCCATATGTCCAGTAACATGGGATAGCCGCTCCTAATTAAGGATTGCTGTATGTCCTGAATGACTTTCTAATGTAATGAAGGTGAATAACCTGCTTTGTTTAATTATACAATCCCAAATGTAACTGCCTAAGTGCCAAGTACTTTCGCATGGTTTTAATATGCCATGAATTTTGCAAGAATGAAACTACTATGTATATGAGAAAAGATGGTAGATTTTTTCATTTAGATACTCATTTCAGAGTCTCAATAGGAAAAATAGAACACACACAAACTAAGATAATTTAACTTGGGTTTATTTCCAAAGAGACTACTTACGAAAATGTCAGGGGAGAAGGGTGAAGGAATCACAGAAATCACACCCCACAATAACTCTGGTTTAGCAGTGGCAGGCAGAGTTCTGGGGAGTAAACTGCCCTGATCACAGAAGGAAACACTAATTTTCTTTTTTTTTTTTTTTTTTTTTTTTTTGAGACGGAGTCTCGCTCTGTCGCCCAGGCGGGACTGCGGACTGCAGTGGCGCAATCTCGGCTCACTGCAAGCTCCGCTTCCCGGGTTCACGCCATTCTCCTGCCTCAGCCTCCTGAGTAGCTGGGACTACAGGCGCCCGCCACCGCGCCCGGCTAATTTTTTTTGTATTTTTAGTAGAGACGGGGTTTCACCTTGTTAGCCAGGATGGTCTCGATCTCCTGACCTCATGATCCACCCGCCTCGGCCTCCCAAAGTGCTGGGATTACAGGCGTGAGCCACCGCGCCCGGCCCACTAATTTTCTTATGAAAAAGATTGGTCCAGGAGACCTAGCAGAGAGGGAGTTTAGGCAATAACCCCCAATCCCATTTCCTCCTTCCCTTTAATCTCATGAACATGCATAGAAGGCAATGAGCAAGGGAACCGATGGAGATATTCAATATGGACCATTCCACTTGGACAAAAGCCAGTAAATAGGGGAGTATAACAGGGGACAAGGGCCAAACAGAAAGTATCTATTACATTTACCAATGCAGTTCAATCATGTCAACAATAGAAATGGCAGTTTTGGCATTTGGTTATTCAATGAAACTATATTTGTAACTTTTTATTTACAATGTTTCAAGGTATGGGCGAAGATATGAAAATTTCATTATGTTCTATTGTATTTGATATGTAAATGTTCTGGCACAATTATATACATTTTGGATTATATATTGACAGTAAATTATTTCTCCTTTGTTAGCTTCAGCATAACATTAATATTTTCAACAACTTGAATGCATACATTGTGTTCTCACTAATAATTTAGAATAGCGAAGGGGTCTTTGAAGAATTTCTTATGAAGTAGAGGCATTGGGTCAGACAGAGCCGAAAACCATTGGCTTAGATTAATCACTATTTATCCTAGGGCTGAAGAGGGCCAATTGAAGACACAAATGTCCAATCCCTCTATAACCTTGGAGATCTATGAACCAGAGAAATAGAGACTGGTTCTTAAGGAGGTAATAAGTGTGCCTTCTATGGTTTATAATAATATGCATTGTCTTAACAATTGAATAATTAAAAGTTAATGCCCTCATAATATGCAAAATTTTTAATAAACACATTGGTCCCTGTGTTCAAGTAGTTGGTAATCAAATTAGTGAAGTATGGTAAGTCTTTTGAAGAGCATTAAACAGCAGAAAATGTAAGAAATTTGTCTCTATAATAGTGTGGGCCTTCTGTGTTTCCTAAGGGCACATTCATATGATCTAATAACTGAGCAGAGAGAAGCCTAAAGGATATTTTATGGTTTCATTTGTTTGTTTTTGCCAATTAACATACATTTCTAGATTAAAAGTCAACTATCTTTTCCTTGGGAGTCAACTATAGGAGAAGATAGTGAAGAGGCAAGGAAAATTACAGCAGCTCAACAGCTTTACCCTGGAAATATCTGTATTGTGTACCGCTATAGCCTACCTTTATCAGTCAGATAACAATGTCAAAGAGGCAAGCTTGGCACCATTGTTCTTAGTGAATCTCTGCTGCCAGCCTCTTATCCTAAGTGCTCTCCAAAGACCCATTTAATGGACCTTTCGGAAATTGTGCTCAGGATCAATATGAGGCTCACTGATACAGCAGCTTTGGAACTCACCATTTGCTTATTTATTAAACCTGGGATAATTGCCCGACTTCTATCATCTGAAATCCTCTCCATGACTTTCAAAATTATCAACATTGGTTCCAACATCATTCCTAGAAAACATTTCAGTGGAGTATATTTATCTGACATTTGACTGTATTTATAGCAGTAAGAATATATGATGATTCCTCCTAAAATAATCCCACAATTACCCATTTTGTGTCACCTTTGAGGGTCTTATCCTTAATATCAGAGATCTGTTCTATACATTTGAGTCTTAGAAATAATTACTAGCTTCTCTCTGAATTTAACTGAAGTTCCTTACTTTTATTCAGCCTGTTACCCAAATTACATAATGTATTGAAGGCTAAAAACTGTCCAAATTTCTGATTACCTTTAGTTAAAAATGGGAATATGAGTTTTTCTTTTTCTAACTTGGCAAAGATTATGTTTTTTTCATGAAGAAATACAGACATATTTAAACACTCAGGATCTGAGAATTTGAAATACATGAAACTTAGCAGGTGGTCTTTAAGTAGTTTTCATTTCTAAATTTTAGTACATAGCATTGAATGTTACAGAAGAAAAGACAATGAGGGATTACTCATAAACATTGCCTTTATGATATCCTTCCAAAGAAAACCAAGTGTCCCTGTGCTTGGACTCATAAAGCAGAAATGCTTACCTTGCTTTTATGTCACTAACAAACAATTGTGCCTAGTCATTGAATTCTAATGCATTTAAGCCATCTTGAGATTAGAGCCCCTAGGGAAAACTACAAATGGAAAATTCATTGATTTTTGATTTTGCTTTCCTATGGATCAAATTTAATACTTTCTTGTAAATCTCTCCCTTTGCAGATCATATGTGATAAATAGTTATCCAACTTTCTAGATGTCCACCCAGAGCTGCTTCCATATGAAGAGGTGGAAACGGATTCTGTGCATGATACTGGTTAGGATTGGGAACTGTTTTTTTTAAAGGAGATTTTTAAAATTTGTTTTCCTTGTACACATAGCCATAATATTGTGTTGCTAACTGCCCTCTGGGAACAAAGTCATGTCAATCACAAATATATTGCCTAAAGTGGGAGGCTTATTACTCTGCTGTGAATTCCGTCTCCTATTATGTTTTAAAGATGCTACAAACTTGAGACATTACTATGTAGATGACATTCCCAGCAAATCCCCAAACAACACTTAATGAGATTTCAAATACCAGGATCATACAACAGTAAAAGATATAAGGAAATAAAGAAAAGCACAGTATATTTGTAGAAGGCATTAAAACACAAATTTTATAATTATGAATGCATATAATAAGGAACAAGTTTTATTCTAAATAGTAATTAAATCAGAACTATGATATAGGGAATAAAAGTGAATATTAAACCATTGTACCGACAATAACAGAGCCCTTTTTCTGCTGTGTGATGGAATTTAGTGTTTACTAAGGAAGAAAAAAAATGCAAGATATCTTAAATTTGGTACTTTCCAACAAATTTAAGAAATGTGTACACACTTGAGGAGACTTAAGAAGTCTCTGACTAAAACACTAGAAAAGAAAAGCAGCGAAAAGCCAAATAACTATTACTCAACAATAACAACATTTCTTACTATTATATTAATATTAAACACACTATTAAACAACAACATTTCAGTTACTCACTGAGCCCAAAGTCATTTTTCATGAACCATTCACAACACTGATAACCTATTGAAAAATGATTGAAAACAAAAAAGCTTATTGCTTTCCAAGTCCTTTTAAAGCCTTCTCTTGTGTCATTTCATATAATCCTTATAACAAATCTATGGAGTATATACTGACTTTACCTCTGTACAGAAAAGAAAACTGAGTCATATTCAGAATAAGTTGCAAAGTTCCCCAGATAATCAGTGTCATAGGTGAAATTTGATGTCACAGTGTACTCAAGTGTAATTTAGGGAAGCAGTACAAATGACGGATGAAAGCACAGGTTCTGGGGTAAACAGCCTGAAGTCAAAATCTAGTTCATAGCCTCAGTGGCTGTGTGATCTTGGGAAATTTCCCTTAACTCTCTGTGTCTTGGTTTTATAGTTTCATCCATTTTTGCCTCTCATATGAGCTGGTGAGCATTACACTAGTTTATGCTTCTAGGACACTGAAAACAGTACCTGGCTCTTGATAAATATTAACAATTTTGTTTCATTTTCTTCACCTTGAGTATTTCATGGCCAGATGGAAATCAATGTCAATATGAAAAAATGTTCATAATTCAGCAGGAAGAAATAAAAACCATATAAACAACGTTGTTTTACTGGCAAGTGAATTGGGAAGCTATGTTAAATTGAGAAGGGGAAGGGAAACCCTCTAAGAGCATCGATTAATCAATGACCGAAAGCTGATGAGACTTGTCTGGAATTTTTTTTTTGGAGACTCTGATACTTAAAATTTTGACAAAATAAGGAGATGAACTGAGTAGTGTGGAACAGACATTTTGTGAAGTCAGCAGAGAAAGGAGAGACAAATATGGTAAGGGGAAAATGGTATGAAGTAATAATATCTATGAAGTGCTTTCTAAAGTATAACACATGTAAGTTGTGTTAAATGTAAACTATCATGATTATATCATTACTGTCTGACTGATACAACTATATCCACCTCAGTTAGCCACATAAGATCAATTTTCCTATACCTTAGAGAATACCAGTAACCTCCAGTTCAGAAACAGCATAAATATCTATCCACAGCTGAGCAGACACATACAGCTAGCTACCAGATGAAATGGGCTATATCTTCAAATACTATTGTTTTCTGTTTTTTAATTGTGGCAAAACACACTCAACAATTTGCATCTTAACCACTGTTAATTATACAATTCGGTGTCATTAAATGTATTCACAATGTTGTGCAAGCATCACCACCACCCATCTCCATAATTCTTTTTGTCTTTTAAAATTGAAATCCTGTACCCATTAAAAGTGACTCCCCATTCCCCACCCGCCCAGGGCAACTACAGCTTTACTTTGTCTTGATGAATCATACAATATCAAATGTAATTTTTAAGATATTTAAAATCTTTTGTCTGGAAGCAAAGTGGAAGTTAATATCAATGGCTATGCCTTCAGTGAGTTCTCAGACCACATTACAATGTAGTTAACTATTTATCTTTTATTACATTCTAGACCTATCATTTCGTTCTGGCACAAAAATATCTTCTTTGTAGATTATGGCATTTACCTCTATCTCCACACCATTTTGGTCTCTCATCCACAGATCATCAGCCTCTTGCTTAGTCTTCCATTTAATGACAATTTCTATTTAGTATACAACAGTCCTTCCCCCTGCAATGCCATTTCTTCACTCTTTAAAGCTCTGAGTCTGGCTACTGGTCTCTGTTATGTACTCATCCCTAGAGCCAAGTCTTCAAATATTTCTCAGAACTTCTTCACATCTAAAAATCTAGGATTAATTTATTGCTCTCTGATTATATTCTTCTGGTATTTCAAGTATCGTGTATAACTTCTTCATCTGCCCTTGCTTTTCTTCTACATCAAGATGTCAAGTTCATGGACTTCCCAATTAATCATTTTAAAAATGTATTTCAAGTCTTTATGAGTCACTAAAATATACATATGTTCTCAGGAATTATGGCCCTACAATTTGTATGTGAGAATAGTTCCTGTGTCAGGCATTATGGACATAAGAGGAAATAAATTCTAGTCCCTGCCTACAAGGAGCTAATTCCCAGCCTAAGACAGATTGCAAGCCAATAATATGCAGACTTGTAATTCTAAGGAAACTGATTGGGATACACCTAATTCGAGCTGGGAATATCAGAAGAAAAACTTTTTGAAAGTCATGAGACATGAGCTGTGCCTAAAAGAGTAAAAAATAGAGAGAGAAATAAGAAGAAAAAATTAAGGAATGAGGTGGGTATAATAGTAGAAAAAGGAAATCTCTTTAGATAAAACAGGGTATGAGAGTATATAGGAGGCTTATTAACTCAGTGTGGTTGGGGAAAACAGGTTCAAAGGAGAAATAGGGGAGAAAGTTACAAAGGGAATCAAACGTGTTAGTAGTTGAGGGAAAAGCAAATATTGAATACGACCCATAGATCTTGGATAACCCAGTGTTTGGTAGTAGCTTACATAAAAAGTTGTGACAAAATAACCAGAGATATGCGGAGAAAATAATAACTGAGTGTTATATTTCCTCTCAGTAGAAACCTTAAAAAAAAATGTAATCACACACTGATCTTTTAACTGACCTCCACTTATCTGGCTGCCTGGATTGGCATACATATTCCTCTGCCTGAAAAATTGCTCAATACTTTTGAAAGGTTGTTTCTCACTGTTACACCCAGGCATTTCTGCTAACACCAGCTGAGTTGTAAGGGGCCCTCCAGGAGACCTAGGTTGTTCTCCTTATCACATACATTATTTTCATTTATCAATTTACCCAGAACATCTAATGAAATATTATGGACACCAATAACATGAATACAAATATAGCTATAGACCCTAAAAAGTAAATTGATGTCTCTTGAAAGACTGTCATGTCTTAGATGCTAAATTTGGAGTATGTGTTTGTAATAAATAAATAGCTTGCTTTAATAATTCTGATTTATGAATGTAATATAGGGGAGCAGCTTTTATTTCGCCCTTAATCTTAAAAAACAATTAGCTGGGTGTGGTGGTGGGCACCTGTAGTCCCAGCTACTCAGGAGGCTGAAGCAGGAGGATGGTGTGCACCTGGGAGGCGGAGCTTGCAGTAAGCCAAAATTGTGCCACTGCACTCCAGCCTGAGTGACAGTGTGAGACTCTGTCTCAAAAAAAAAAAAAAAAAAAAGATCATACATGGAGTAAATGATGATTTAGCATAAAACACAACTTTAGCCTAAAATACAGATCATAGGGCTCAAACTTTGTTATTTTATGGGATTATACTAATCAGTTAATATTCAAAATTTACCATTTCAAAAGAAGAAATATTGGTCAGGGAAAATTGCCATTGCTTATACAGAAGAATGGAGGAATCTTTTTGACAACAACAATTCTAGTGATCTTCCTCATCACTGGTTCCAAAACCAAGCCCATGGAAGACCTGCATAGGGATAATGTGGAGAACATGCAAGAGAAATACACATCACCAGCTCCTCAACTCAGAGCTCCAAGGGAATGGCCAAGGAAGCTGTATTGTCCAAAGAAATTTGAGACTGTTTTGACTTACAATAAATCCTGCACAATCATATGTATGTATACACACACACACAGCCACACACACAGACGGTGTTGTCAGTGAAGCCTCTAACAATGCATCTTGACTGGACAGATTTGACAATTAAAATGGCTGGAAGAAAATAGGCTTCATAAGTGTCACTTACTATTCACATTACACATTAAAAGGACATCTCCTAAATTAAATCTTGTCTATGATAAAAAGGCAGAAAATCATGACCCAAGGCTCATTTATAACTGCAGAAATGTTCAAGATAGACCAAGGCTTGCTATGTTTAGGAACTGACAAGTACAGGTCTTTATAATCTACCATTTTGCCTCATTTGATACCAGGTGACCTTCATAATGCAGGCAATAGAGAATTGCAAGATTTGTCAGAGATTTCAGGTCTTTGGAAAGCTATGCTCTTTCACAAGAACAGCCATGGAAACAGGAAGAAAGTCAATTCCCACTTAAGGTAATCAGAATTTACAAATATTCCTCTCTTCATTGAAATCTCAATAGGCACTTCAATATTATATTTAATTAATTCTTTTGTTACAATCATGCATCACATAACAACATTTTGGTCAAGGATAGTGCACATGTATGACAGTGGTGCAATAAAATCATAACGCTGTACTTTTACTGTACCTCTTGTATGTTTAGACATGTATAGATACACTTACTGTATAGATATAAGTAAGTATAGATATACTTAACTGTTGTGTTACAATTGCCTACAGTATTCAGTACAGTAACATGCTGCACAGGTTTGTAGCCTAGGAGGAATAGGCTATACCACCTAACCTAGATATGTAATCAGCTATAGCATCTAGGTTTGTGTAAGTAAACTCTGTGATGTTCACACAATAATAAAATCGTCCAGCAATGCATTTCTCAGACACACCCCTGTCATTAAGTGACACATGACTGTATTAGTTAACACTAAGGGAACTTCATGGGAAATGGACACTCTAGCTCCACCATAAATAGAAACTGTTTATGTCAAAAAACACATAAAAGCATAGTTGCAAGATTACATTTCCTTCCAGATATTTCATTTAGTATCTCCACAGATCACTAACTTCCTGAATAGCATTCTTGTGTCTCCACTGCCTCACATTTGATTTCAGGTCATTCCATCAATTGTCAAAGATGCATCCAACATTAACTTCCCAACTACTGGTTTGGATTGTGTCAACATTGTCATTCTGGGCCACAACAACACAAAAGGCTAACTCAGTGAGGTAACATAGACACTGATCAGTGAGATTTTGCTGACGGGTGGTACCATTTTTTACCAAGATCAAGGGTATTCATACCTTCAGGCATCTAGATAACATTGAAAAGGGCAGGTCCATAGATAAAAAGGGAAAGAGGACGGGTTTTTGCACTATACATGAGCTAACATGTCTCCTGTTTAACCTGAGTCTGAAGAGATTCAAAGTGCAGGTGCCATGAATGCCTCTTTAATAGCTCCATGTCGATTGATTTTCTGGGCTACACTTCCCAGCATTCAAATTGCTAAATGCATATAAACTACTAGTGAATATTTATTACCTGGATTTGTGCTTTTGAGTGATCTTATCTATAGTTATGTGCTTCAGTGATCCAACTTGGGGTGCACTCCAAACTTTGATAAATTAAAGACCCTGCTTATTCCTTGAGTAATGCTACACTGACAACTGATTTAGTGAATGCCACTGTGAAAATAATAAACCTCTTGGTGAATATATTTAGACATGTCTTGGAACCTGTACACATCTTAACCAGGGATGTTACTTGGTCTTTCTATGTTCAGGAGTGTGTGGAGTTAGAAAATCATACAGGATTGTAATTGTTGCCTGTGAGACTAACAGAAAATTCAAGCTAGTGAAGTATGCTTATGCATGGCACACTTCTCACCAGCAATTTTAGGAAGTTCTACCCACAACCCATATGTCTTTTGATATGTGGGTTACCTTGGAGAGAGAAAAAGAAACTCTGAACACAAGCATGAAATACTTTAGAATTTTATCTAGAGTTGGACTTGTCCGAAAGCTTTTGTATAAACTTGCTTGATGAGCAACTGTTGTCCACTGGTACCTTCACTGTACAATCCACACACAACAAAACTTCACAACTGGACACCTAAATTTGCACTTTGTTTGGTAAAGTTGAATGAAAAATGTTGTCTTTTAAGCTTATGCTCTCTTATGAAAGCTGTTATTAGATTAATTTTACTCCAAGATATGCCAGTTAGGAAATAACTTCCAATTTAATTTCACCAGCTCCCTGTGGGTGGACTAATTACTCACACATCACACTTACTCTGGTGGTGAAATGCCTCAAAAGAAGGTCTCCAGAGTGTTGCTCTACCTAGAAGGACAAGAATGAAGAGACATAAAAATCATTCATTAAGAAGGAAGAAGATTTTCCTTGCCTAGATTTGCACTTGTAGGATCCAATTAATTTTATCACTTAATATTTTGTCCTGGTGGGCATTCACTTTACAAATTTGTAAGGTCAGTAGAAATGGAAACTTTTAGAAATCAAACTGTAAATGTTCTGTAGACGTTGACAGAAATAGCTATTTGGAGCTGTGCTTTTGCCAACTAGACACTCTGAGAAAATCTGTGAGAGGATATTTTCAGGAAGTCATTGAACCCCCTAAAAATCAAGTTTATTGCTTTTACCATAAATATAAATAATTTATTTATTATCAACCACTTTCAATATTCCAATAAGTAACTTTATTGTTTATTTCATTGACATGATCTACATAGACATGCAATTTATCTTCTTTTGCGATACATTCAGAAAATTTGCTGCCTGGAAAAGCCATGTTTTGAAATTACCTCCTGTTTGATGATTTTTTTTTTATACTTTAAGTTTTAGGGCACATGTGCACAACGTGCAATTTAATTACATATGTATACATGTGCCATGTTGGTGTGCTGCACCCATTAACTTGTCATTTAGCATTAGGTATATCTCCTAATACTATCCCTACCCCCTCTCCCCACCCCACAACAGGCCCTGGTGTGTGATGTTCCCCTTCCTGTGTGCATGTGTTCTCATTGTTCAATTCCCACCTATGAGTGAGAACATGCAGTGTTTCATTTCCACTTAAGTATCTATCTCTATTTGTCCTTTATTTTCACTTCCATCCTAGCTCTATCCCTTGTCTCCTTCATGTGTCTCAGGATAAGTGCCCTATAACATTTTATATTTCTGGAAACCCTTCAATATAAAGTTATTACATGTAAAAATAAAAAGTCTGTTTTAGCAAACTTTTTCTTCACAAATTATCTTTTCCTAGTTCCCTATTGGACAATTTTTGTAGGCTCCATATGCTATTAATTTATATTCACTTTTAGAAGAATTTTCATCAAAAGCAAAAGTCTTATGTAAATTGTTTATATGTTATTTGTACTTCTATGTATATATACACACATAGCCACATACATATATGTAACTCCGGAGGCCTGCCTGGACTGTTAAATAACTGTATTGAACAAAAGCAAGAAAAAGCTGTTCAAATTTCAAACAACAAGTTGAACTGAAGAGCTCACATCTTTGAATGAAATAGACACTAGTAGCCTTTAAAAATTAAACATTTCTACTGTTTTAAAAATTATAGCCATCATAGTATGAGGAAAAATGTAATAATCTTTTTTAATTCTTACCGTTTTATTAACCAGAGTCCTTATGCCCTGACTTCATTGGTACCCCTTTGAGATTAAACAGAACACTTAATTTAAAATTCTGATAAATAAATAAATTACATCATTTACTTGAGGTACTCTTTCACCTTTCAAGAAATATTTTGAGAATTCATTAGCTAAACATTGCTATAATGCAGGCTAGTAATAAATGGAAATAATGATTTCATTGTAAAGTTTAAACTAATGATGGTATGATCTGGAATTTTTGTTAACCTAGAAGACATAATTAGCTCTAGAGGTGAAATGAAAGACAAAATCACTTCACATATTAGTAAAAAACAAATAATATAACTTTATAAGCTACTGCTGTTCTTTTGCTATTAAGAACCAATGACATCTGTAATTAGGGAAGATTATGGAAAGGTTAAAGGTGAGAATACATGCAGTCTGTCGACAGGAAACCTAAACAGTTTAGGTTAAGGAAAGGTCTGCGAAAGTCATATTAATTAGCAGGTTCACAGGAAACTGACATTTATTGTATAAATTCCATGGTCAAATGTATTAGGGCTCCACACACACAACTGTGCACCATCTATGTTACCACACAGTGCTTACTTCTTTCAGTCTTTATTCATTTCTCTCCTAATGGTCTGTATGGTATTATTACATAGTTCTAAAAACCTTCCATGAGGCAGAAATTTCATTTAATGATATAGCTTTGAAAATAATGAAAAACAGTAGAAACTTTCTACTTTTTTATGAAACAGAATTGTTGAATTTTCAGTTTCATTTATTTAATGTTACAAGATGACAAACAAATTTCTTTAATTCCTTCTTGTTATTTTTGTCTAACATCAACCAAAGCCATTTCTTTCATTTGAAGGTGAAAACTGCTCATCAAAATCCAGTTTAAGCTGAGAAACAAAGAACTAAATTTTGCATGAGAGATTATACACTGCATAAGTATAAAACAGGACCAGAAACAATGGTGGATTCACAATTTTTAAAAAGACAAAAGCAGGTTATCATTAAATCAATTCTTACCAACACACCAATTTCACCTCTAGGCCAGAAAATTAGCCGCTTACCCACGGGAAAACAATGATTGAAGACAAAGTTCACCAGTGAAAGTTGGTTATTTATTTTCCATCCTTAAATCAACTAAAATGATATCTACAGTTCCTCTTAACACTTTTCTTACTTTCAAATATGTGGGTATGCTTCATTAGCTGAGGCCATGTTCGATATGCACATCTGACTACAAGGGAAACTGGGAATGTGAGCCCTGATCCTAATGTTTGTAGAGTATTTAGAAATTTGAGAATTCCCTCCAAATAAAGAGTTTTTTAAAACATTGTTAGACAAGAAGTTTGAATTACAAAATGTGGTAGTAGCTCAGGTCTAACTCAAATGCAGGGAAAAAAACTATTAACTCTAAAAAAAATTAAATACACATTTGATGGTAATGAGAAACAGAAAACAGGCAGAAATAGTAGAATATTCAACCACTGATGAAGTATTTGACCATTGAATAAAGAAAATTGCAATGATTTAAATTTGCATCAATGTAACTTCACACCTGATGACACTTCCCAGTCTGTGCAAAATTAGATGTCTAAGAGTAAAGCGGTGAGTTTTACTAGCTTGAGGAATAAGAGTACAGAGTTCCAGGCTGACAGAAAAGAAGAATTGGGAAATTTGAATGACATGGGAGGAAATCTCACACAACTGAAAGTCACAGAGGAGAATGTCACAGAGTAAAAATCTAAAATCAGCACTTAAACTTCATTCAGATATATGATGGCTGCTACATTTCACATTCATAAAAAGAGACTCCATAGAATCCAGCAAAAAACAACAGCTAAATTGCTAGTACAGAGCAGAGATTTCAACCATTGCATATAGCTCAGGAGTGAAAGTTTGGTGTTTGACTACAGAAAGAAGACTAATGTTAGAAAAGAGTCACTCTTCAAAGGAAAATAAAAGAGCCTATCTCTACAAAATATCATACACATAATCTAACATATAATTTAACCTGCCTAGACATAGAACCAGGAAAATATGACACATAACAAAAAAAGTAAACAATGGATTAAGACATTGAAATGGCCCACATGCTGGAATTAGAAGATGAGAAATTTAAAATAAGCTATTATAAGCATATTCAAGGATTTAAGGAATAGATGGTCATAAGAGAGAATATATGGAGAATCTCAACAGAGAAGTAAAAATGATAAAGGGATAATAGGACAAATTTTAGAACTGAGAGACAGAATATCTTATATAAAAGTGTCATTTTATGCACATACCAGTAAATTAAAGATGGCAGAAAAAACTATCAGTGCACTTAAAAACAGATCAAGAACAATTTCCCAATACAGCTAATACAAAGGAGAAAAATAATAAAAATATGACCAGTCTAGCACTAATATAATTGGACTCCTAGAAAGAGTAGAGAAGAAAATGAGACAGAAAAAGCTATTTGAAAAAGTAAAGACCAAAAGTTTTCCTAATTGTCAGCATATATCAACTTACAGGTTTAAGAAACTCAAAGAACAGAATAAAAATATACAGAACCAAATGTAGACATACCATAGTCAAACCACTGGGCAAAAAAAGAGTAAATCTTGAAAGTAGCTAAAGGGAGGGAGAAAATAATTTACATACGTGGAAACAAATAGGTCATCTACCTGTCATCAGAAATGACACTTTAAAAAGCAATGAAACTACATCTTCAAAATAAAAAAAAAACTGTCAGCTCCAAATTCTATAACTAGAAAAAGTAATTCTTGAGAAAATAAAGATTTATTCAGATAAAAGAAAGCTTCAAACAATTGTCATTAGCAGACCTAGATACAAGAAATGCAAACGGAAATTTTTTAGACTAAAGAAAGATAACAACAGATGGAAATTCTGACCTACAGGAAGTAAGGAGAAGCTCTAGGAATGGCATGTGCATAAACAGGAAAAACTAAGGCTTTTTTCTTTTAGTTTTATAACAAACAACTGATGGTTTAAATAAAAAATTAAGAGTACTATTGATAACGTATGTAGAGTAAAATATTCTAAATTAATAGCTCTGACAGGAGACTAAACGCAACAATTTTGCCACAACTTTTCTTTATGTTCCATGAAAACGTTGACTATTAACAGTAAGTGGACTGCGATAAGCCCAGGATGTTTATTACAATCCCTAGAGAACCACCACATTATATGAAGATATTCTTCTAAAATGCCAATAAAGGAATTAAAATGGAACGCTGAATATTGTTCAGTTAATATAAAAAGGCATGAAAGAAAGAACAGAGGAGCAAAAAATGATGGAACAAATAGAAGATAAGAGCAAAATAGGCTGGGCGCGGTGGCTCAGCCTGTAATCCCAGCACTTTGGGAGGCCGAGGCGAGTGGATCACGAGGTCAGGAGATCGAGACCATCCTGGCTAACACGGTGAAACCCCATCTCTACTAAAAATGCAAAAATTAGCCGGGCATGGTGGCGGGCACTTGTAGTCCCAGCTACTCCGGATGCTGAGGCAGGAAAATGGCATGAATCCGGGAGGCAGAGCTTGCAGTGAGGCGAGATCCCGCCACTGCACTCCAGCCTGGGCGACAGGGACAGACTCCGTCTCAAAAAAAAAAAAAAAAAAAAAAAAAAAAAAAAAAAAAAAAAAAAAAAGCAAAAATAGTAGGCTTAACTCCAACCTTATCAATAATTATTTCAAATGTAATTTAAATACTCCAAATAAAACACTGATTGTCCAACTATATAATAAAAGTACCTATAAGAGATGCATGCCAAATATTATGGTATAGATAAGTTGAGAGTTAAATAATTTCCAAGTATACCAAGGAAACAACAAGCACAAGAAATCTTATGTGGCTATATTAATATAAGAAAAAGTAGACCTCCAAACAAGCAATATTACAACAGAAAGCTATTTCATAATGATAAAATGTCAAGTAATTATGAAGACATAATGCTGTATTGCTGATAGAATAACTAAAGAAAGTTAAGGTAAAATAATTTTGACAACACCCTGACCTAATCGATATTGACCAAGAAAATAGAATATATGTTCTATTATGCTACACATGAAACATTTATCAATAGGCTATAGACCACAAAATATCTGTCAAGAAGTTTCAAAACACTGTAATCATAGAAAGTATACTTTCTGACCATAATGAAATTGAGTTGAAATGGGTGAAAACAAGCTACCCAGGAAAGTCTACACTATTGGAAGATTTAAATACACCTTAAAATGCCCTTTAGCTCAAGGAAGAAATCATAAGAAACACCTTAAAATACATTGAACTGAATACAAATAAAAATATACTATATCAAAATATGTGGGATAAGTTAAGCAGACCCAGAGTAAATTTTTTGTATAAATGCTTATTCTAAAAAAGAGAAGTTCAAAACAAGTGCACTAATTTTCTACCTTAAAAAGAAAATCTAAAACAAGAGAGCAAATTAAGTCCAAAACAAGTAGAAGAAAGAAAATAAAACAGAAATTAGAAATCAATGAGACAGAAAACAGACACAGGAGAAAATTAACATGGCCAAAAGTTAGTTCTGTGAGAAAGAAAGAAAACGCAAATTATAAATATCAGGGATTAATGAGATTGTACAGTTGTAGACACAAGAGACATTAACAAGATAATAGAATATTGTGAAACATTTTATACTAATTTTCATTACTTGGATGAAAGGGTGAATTCCTTGAAAAGAAACTTATAAAAAATTTCACAAGATTAAATGGAATATATGAAGTAATTGACATTTATTAAAGTAATTAAATTGTCAAATACCTGCACATAAAAACATAAAACTAAAGAAATAAAAAAATAAGCAAACTCCACATCCAAAGAGTTTTGCTGGTGAATTCTTTCAAACGTTTTAAAAAAATAAAATTTTTAAATTATTTCAGAAGAAGGGGGGAATTCCAAACTTGTTTTATGAGTCAGAATCCTGATAGCAAAACTACAAAACCCAGGAATGTAAAATTGATTTCAACTTAAAGGGCTATCACCATTCTAATCTGTGATTCTAATTAATTTGGCTATCTTAGATACTTTATACAAGTGGAATCATACAGTTTGTCCTTCTGTGACTGATTTACTTTACGTAGCATTAATGTCCTCTAGGTTCATCCATGTTGCATATTGCCGGATTTTCTTGTTTTAAAGCTGAATAATATTCCGTTGTATGAATATACCACATTTTCTTTATCTATTCATCTGCCAATAAACATTAACCTTATTTCCACATTTTGATTAGTGTAAATAATGCTGCAATGAGCCTGAGAATCATCCCAATCTCAATTCTTTCAGATAAATAACCTGAAGTGAGATTGCTAGATCATATGGTAGTTCTACTTTCTTAATTTTTTTGAGGAACAACTGTACTGTTTTCCATAGAGGCTGCACAGTTTTACTTTCCCAGAAACACTGTACAAGTGTTCCAATTTCTCCCCATTGTTAACACTCGTTATCTTTTTCTTTTAATCAGACCATTCTAACAGGCTTGAGGCAATATCTCTTTGTGGTTTTGATTTGCATTTCCCTGATGATTAGTGATGCTGAGCATTTTTTTCATGTACCTGTTGGTAATTTGGATATTTTCTTTGGAGAAATATCTATTGCTGATTAAAAAAAAAAACTCTCAGCAAGTTAGAAAAAGAAATTTTCTAGAAGTGGTGGAAAGCATCCACAACAAAACATATAAACAATATTATATTTAATTGTGAAAGCGTAAATGTTTAAACCACATAGATTAGGACAAGAAAAAGATGTGTGTGTTCATCACCTCTATTCAACATTTTACTGGTGATCCTAGATTGAGTATAAATATTTAGGGGATAACTATTGTCACTGAAGCCCAAATCTTGGTCATCCTCAGGGAAAAAAAAAAAGTTGATTAGGTTGTATATAATCTAATTCTACTTGCTAATTTAATTTCTCTAAAATTACAGCTTGTATCAACTCTAGAATTTATTGGGCACCTCCTAGGACATAAACACTGGAATTTGGTGAGAGACATCAAATAGGAAAGAACCTGGCTCTGACATAAATTCAACACACGGAGGGGTACACAAGTTATGAGACTGACCTGGCCTCTTCATCTCATAAAAGGGGTTCTTGTTGCTGGTAACACAGATTAAAACTATTTCAATTATATTCAAGGTAAAAAGATTAGCAATGATATGTAAGATGAAAAAATCACCCCGCAGGAAGACAAAAGTCTCACAAATGGATATTTAAACTAGCCAACACTTTGAAATTCAGGCAGAGATCGTGCTTTCTGGGTGAACTAAAGTAGCAAGAACAAAGTAGAGGCTCCAATTCTAGGAAAAATGGGCCCTAATAAGGTTTACAATCCAGAAACTCAAGATATCCAGACAGAAGGATGCAGTCTCCGCTTTCAAGGCAGTAGCAGTACCTGGATTACTATGCCAATCCCCAACACAATCATAAACACAAATTTGATTGAGGAAGAAGCTTGCCCACCAGAAGATTTAGGTTATTACAAGGTAGAATGTGATAGAGAAAACGAGATTGGGACTGGAAACAAGAGGAGGTAGCCCCATGATTACAACTGGAATATATCTGTCAGAGATGGTGTGGAAATAAGACTGAAGAGAGAGCTCCTTAAACCCCACGTGCCTTACATCAGGACTAATCCTGGACACAGGCTGGAAAGCATAGCCTACAGGTGGTGAGGGAGGAGGAGTGGACTCAGCTGTGAGAAGGAGAAGGAAATATGGCTGAAAACCAGATACGGGTCTTGAAGTCACACAGAGGATTTGGGCCTTTGCTGCTGTCGGCCAGCAGCTGCCAGTAGTTCTCACACTTTGGCTGGCATCAAAATCACCTGGGGCAGTGGTGGGGAAGCGGGGGGAGTGTTGTAAAACCACAAGTGACCAGGCAAAAAACACCTGTATGTTTTCCAATTCAGTAAGTACAGAAATATTAATTGGAAAAAGGTGGACGTCAGACATTGATAGTGCTGCGGACTGCTCCAGGGACGTAAGCATGATCTTTAGAGAGGTGACTCTCATCAGTTGAGGGCAACCACTGGACAGAAAGAGGTCCAGACCAACCGTAAACAGAGACATCATACAAATACACTTTAGCAACCTCTCCAAATAACATGTCTCTTAGTGAAACTTAGGAGGTTGAAAGTTAAAAACATAAAATCCCGTGGCATTTATGTATCCTAGGGACTTACATTTGTCTGATTCTTCCAACTTGCCTTTGCTTGGTTAGAGTTTTGGGTAGACAAGAGGTGGATTTACATGTGCCATTGTGAGAACTTTGATACACTCATTTAGACATTGACCTACTATCTTGATGTTTGAAAGCTAAAACCCAAAGAAATTTGTCTTTTTACATAAAACAAATTCAGCCCTTACCTTCCTTGTCGATTACATCTTCCACTAGCAGTAATAAAAAAGTAACAATATGCATAAGTCAAAGTATCTTCTTAGATCCTCTGTAGTGTTTTATTATTTTGTTGTGTTAATTAAAGTAACTGTCTCAAAATTTCAAGGAATGCCTGAGAAGCAATTCGTGTTCAAAGGCTGCCCTCTTGCGACAATGTGTTGTATGTTTTACTGTAAAAGTAATCTTATTTTACCTTATAACCTCTACAATCCAATTCATAACAACATAAAAAGGAAATAAAACCTTACATAATTTTGAATTTTAAAAAGTACCTTGTTTATATGGCTCCTTTAGCTAATGAATAGTCAATTTGGTAAATATTCCAGTGAGTTGAAGGCTTGAATCCATCTCACTTAACTAGCTTGATGGATGTATTTCTAAACCTATACAACCCACTCCTCTGCTTTTAAAAAATCAAAGTTAGCTGTAGATTGAGATGTCAGTGACACAGTTTATAGAACATAACTTAGATTGTCATCTACATTACTGTAACTACAATTACCACCCTCAGATGGAAGAATCAGTTTTATCAGTGAACATCTCTAATTGAACGATAACTGGTGTATGTCTTCTGGCTTTTACAAGCTCTTGGTCTAACACAGGGGATATATGATGTAAAACTTACAAAGCAGGGTCACTCACGGTGGCTCATGCCTGTAATCCCAGCACTTTGGGAGGCCAAGGCGGGCGGATCACAGATTCAGGAGATCGAGATCATCCTGGCTAACACGGTGAAACCCCATCTCTACTAAAAATACAAAAATTAGCTGGGTGTGGTGGCACACGCCTGTAGTCCCAGCTACTCAGTAGGCTGAGGCAGGAGAATCACTTGAACCCAGGACGCGGAGGTTGCAGTGAGCAGAGATCGCACCACTGCACTCCAGCCTGGTGGCAGAACAAGACTCCATCTCAAAAGTAAATAAATAAATAAATAAATAATAAAATAGCAGTGACTATAATGTTTTGTGATGCTAAACTTTGGGAGCTTTTTTTTTCTTTCTTTTCCCAAGTCCCTTTCCCAGTTCCAGGAGCAGAGTTATTCTAAGCTCACTGATGTAAAGGAATAGAAAGAAAAGGTTTGGTGGAAAACCTAATAACCTGCTATCTTTCTGTCTTTTGTTTTTTAAAAGCTTGAGCATTTGGGAGAATTTGGAAAGATTGTGGAGTAAGTGCAAAGAAGGAATTTGCTAAAAAAAATTATATAGGGTAAAATGAGTTTTTTCCAGGTTAGAAAATATCCACTCCCTACCCTCCTACATTCCTTTCCCATGGTTAAGAAGAGGAAAAAACAAAGGCCTCTTGGTGAGCAGTGGTGACTTAGGCAATTTCTTAGAAATATTCTAGAAGACATAGTCATCTTTAAAAAAAAAAAATAGCTACAAGGATATGTCTAAGCAGAAGGGACCATGGGCCAAATTACGTGTAGATTTTTGCATTCCAAATATGGTAAAGAAGAAGCAGGAAGCTGGGGGGCCTAAACAGGCCACACAGAAATGGACAAGGAAGAGGCCAGCAGCAGCTTGTGGGGACAAGATGTCAAGCCCCAAATTTTAAACCCACCAACCATCCTCCAAAGTCTGGCTCTGTTTAACAAGGCTGTGGTCTGACACTAGATGCCGCCTCAGTGACTAAAGCATAATTTCCCGTCTCCTGGGAGTGTTGACAGCTGACTCCTGGCAACAATACTCACAGCACAGTAAAGTTCCTTCATCCAAGTTCATGTCCCTTCTCAGGGCATCCCACATCCGAGAACTGCTTGGTACAGAAATATAATGGCCTGGTTTTCTTGCTCCAATTCGAGGTCATTAGGTAAACTCACCAAGATCCCTGTAGAGTGGACTGCAGCCATGATAGTGATTGCATTCTAGCCGACTTCCTGCTCCGCCCAATCCTATTGCTTTCACTCTTCCACAGGTGTTGGGAATATCATTTCAACCTCCTTGCATGCAAATCTCCAACTCGGAGTCGGCTTCCTAGGACACCTGACTGGTGATATCTCTATCATTATCACGGTACTTAGAGAGGAGCATCTTAAAATGATTGAAGGCTAACTGCCCTAACAGCACAGGCAGATGGTGGCTTAAAATAGAATTTAAGTGGACTTAAAAAAACATGAAAGAAGTTGACATTGCACGCTCATATGAGCTTATGGATCAAACCATGTGTATGATTTCTAAGATCCCTCGTGCAGTATATATTTGCACTGTTTATAAATGACATCCCTTTGAATTGAATTCAGTGCAATTCAAAACAGTAATTTGTGGGAAAAAGTAGATATGCAGATAGCCTGGACTCTAGAGAGGCAAACATCATTTGGAAAATAATAGTGAACCGGCTGGTCTATGAGGGAAGAAAACAGAGTGAATATAGACTATTAGTGAACAAGGATATTTTCCCATGTATATTCAAATTAAGGTGAACTTCTTTAGAGAATTGTGCCTTAGAAAGAAAAAGTATTTCCCTATATTTGAGTCCTCACAAGTTTTCCTACGATGAGTGCTTTTGTGATTATTTTGAATAACAAAGTAATATTTAAAGAAACTCTCTTGCCCTGAATGTACTTTACATCAATTGATGTTGCATATAGAGAGCATCAGAGTCAAGCCACAAGAAAAGGAGGAACATAACTTAGCAAAGACTTAGAGGATTAGTCCTAATAGTGTGAAATCAAAAGTTCAAGTGAGGGAATAAATGCAGCTTTTAATGATTACTTAAATGAAGTTTAACTCTAGCAGGATCTACAAGAAATTGGCAACCTTTGGCTTCAGTAACAGAAACTCAGGATATATGCCCTTCAGTGCTTTTGGATTCCGCATCATATTGAGAGCAACTCCTTTAAAAAGGCAATAAGAAACTTCCTGTGACAACATAATAAATTCAAAAAGTTCTGTAACTCAGACAATTTAGATAGAAGTGAGGACTTTGGCCTAGACAGCCCTGTTCACTCTAAAGATGGATTAAACAAGGAAAAAGATATTGATATCAAAAATTCAATCAGTAATTTGATTAAAGCATTTCATTAAATGTGATAATTTCTTAGTATATTATCTTACATATGCAATATTCATGTGTAACAAATTAAATACAAGTAAACATTTGAGCATATTATCTGCAGCATAATTTACATATCAATTTGCATATTCAGTTTTGCTCACATGAAAACTTCGATCTTCTCAATAAGAAAATTTGTGAAATCTTTAATTCCTCATCCCCAGGAATGTAAATAAATAAATATAAATATTATAAGTCAGTGATTTTTTCCTAGGAAGACAGTAAAATTACTTTACACGCCTTCTCATTGTAAACCTAAATAACAAACAGAGAAAGGTTCTCTAAAGGAAAAAGACACATCTTAGGGAGGAGGGCGCTGCAATGGGAATATGCATGACAAAGCAAACTGTGTAGATTCAAATGGTAAAGGAAGACAAGGTCTTTAAAAGAAAAGCGATCAACCTGGAATTATGGGGGAGTAGAAAAAAATAAATAAAGGAAAAATGAAGAGGCTTCTATAATTGTTTTGTTATAGTTATCTTTGACTATAAAGATCAACAACAAGGTCGATGTCAGTTGAAGTTTGAGCAGGTGGTTGCTGGATAGATGTCCTCACAGAAGTGTATTTCGTGTAAGGTTGCTATGGCCTTTGTGCAAGGTTGTGGATTTTGTGGTATTTTGTGATAGTTTGTATCAGGCCTAGAAGCATGAGAACCCTCTCTTCAAGGCCTTCTCTGAATCTATTTGTCCAGGTTTTTTCTTTTCTTTTTAAAGATTACTGACAGTTTTGATTCTGATAACTTTCATATCATGATCCCTAATTTCAAAAAAAATTAAACGTGTAACTTTTTTATGATGTATTTGATAGGCTTGGATTTATGAATCACCTCTACTATCTATAGTGGTAGATATATCTGAGCCTGCTTACACAGGACTTCCATCAGATTCTCTCTTCAGTGGAATTGGAAGAGGAGGTTTTGGAGAAGGGAATGAAGGAATTGTGCTGCATCAGAGGTCCCCACCTAACAGCACAGGGCCTTTTTCTGTGCTCTTGCCAGGCCGTTGTATTGGCTGATGCAAAAGTAATTTTGGTTTTGTCATTGAAAGTAATGAGACCATCTGACTTACAATGTCTGTGCCGTAACCAACTCCTAATAGCCTACTAGGACAGCTTTGCCCTGACATACACTGTCCTGGAACCACGTCTGCTTTGTAACTCCTGAGGTAGCTGCCACCATGACCAATGCCTTCTCATCTTTACTCTACATGCAGGTAACAGTTATAATTATATCTCTGTGTATTCACAGAACATCTAGTACATCTGGGACTTCTACAAAATTTCCCTAGCTGATTTTGGTGTTCTAGTGTCCTGGCAGCTCTAGCCATGAAGGGATGATGCTTTATCAGCATTTCTGTTGAGTTTTTTTCCTTTTTCTCACAAACTGATTCCACTTTTCCCACATACGTTTGACAATTCATTTGAACTCATTTATTCTAAACCCATTATTTTTTGTCTATTATTTAATAGGGAGGGGGGCGAGGGATAAAAGATAACAAATAAGGTGCAGTGTACACTGTTCAGGTGATAGGTGCACCCAAATCTCACAAATAACCAGTAAAGAAGTTATGCATGGAACCAAATACCACCGTACCCCAATAACCTATGGGAAAAAAATTAAAAATACAATAAAAAAGAGTCAGAAAAAAAGAAAATAATCACTGTACTTACCATGACACTTAGAAATGGTGGCTAGCATTATTTGTGTCACCTAATATTATTATTTTTTCTTTATGCTACAAACTAGCTCTGCTATTACAATCACTACTATTTGAAGTGTTACTAAATTAAATTAAATTTATTGTATCCTTCTGGACTCAGAAATGGGGGTAAATGCTAAGACAATTTCAGAATATTATCATATATTAAAAGCTTATTATATGGGGAAAATGTGATTTTAAAAAAATAGAAATTGGTAGAGAAACAATTTTTGGGTCTCTTTAATTTCCGCACATTTTGCAAGTATGGACGCTGACTTTCTTGTTCCAAATGATTGTTTTCAAGCATGTTTGTATAGAAAACAGCCTTGGAATAGAAAACCAGTACCTCCTTCTGGAACAAAGGAAAAGTTTATTTACTGTATAGTATAATGCAGATAATTTCTCCCTCTTGGGAAGGGTACAGCCAAGTGAACTTCCCATAATACAAGTTGGGGTTTCTTGAGCTTGGGTTTTTCTTCCACAGCGTAATGTGCAGGTGCCACTTGGCTCTCTTTGTGTTATCCTGGGAAAGCTGATGGCTGTGGGTGCATGTTTATTTTCGGGTTCTCTATTCTGTTTCACTGGTCTTTGTGTCTGTTTTCATATCGCTACCATGCTATTTTGTCTATTGTGGCCTTAGGGTATAGTATGAAGTCAAGTAATGTGATGTCTCCAGCTTTGTTCTTCTTGCTTAGGTTTCCTTTGGTTGTCTGGGCTCTTTAAAAATCCATATGAAATTTAGAATATATTTTTTTCTAATTCTGTGAAAAACGACATTGGTTGTTTCATAGGAATAGTGTTGAATGTGTAGATTGCTTTTGGCAGTATAGCCATTTTAACAATATTGATCTTTCTAATCCATGAGCATGGAATAGTTTTCCATTTGCTTTGTCATCTATGATTTCTTTCTGCAGTGTTTCGTAGTTCTCCTTTTAGATATCCTTTACCTCCTTGGTTAGACATATTCTTCTTTTCTTTTATTTTATTTTGGGGGTTGCTGTTGTAAACAGGATTGCACTCTTGATTTACCTCTCAGTTTAAACATTTTTGGTGTACAGAAATGATACTTCTTTCTATATGTTGATTTTTTTTAATCCTGAAAGTTTGCTGAAGTTTTTTTTTATCAGTTCTAGGAGCCTTTTGGCACAGTCTTTAGGGATTTCTAGGTGTAGAATCATATCATCAGTGAAGAGAGATAATTTGACTTCATTTCCTATTTGGATACCTTTTATAGCTTTCTCTTGCCTGATTGCTCTGGCTAGGACTTGTTAAACAGGGGTGGTGAGAACAGGCATCCCTATTTTATTCCTGTTCATAAGGGGAATGTGTTGGGAGAAAAACTGAGTGTTGGAAGAGAAGCTGAGGCAGGGCCATATGTTTCTCATTCACTTGATACACCATTTCCTTTCAACCCCTAAATCCTCACCACCTGTTTGTTTGAGCACCAACAAATAGCGTGGGCTCCCAGAGCTTGGGGACTTTGCAGACTCCACACTCGTGATGGTCTCCTGGTCCCACTTTCTCTCTCAAACTGTCTTTTTCTCATTCCTTTGACTCTTCCGGACTTCATCACCCCCATGACCTAGTGTGGGGTCTGATCACCCCAACATTCCTGGCGCCCAACATGGGGTGACAAAGACCCGGTGAAGGAAGGCTGGAGCATGTGAAAGCAGAGGACACAACATCAAAAGACACCCGAGGACATACAAAGATGGGGAATGAAAATTAGTACTTAGAATTTGTTATCACTCTTTAGTACAGTAAAGCAGTTTTGCCCATGGTTTCCAGAACAAAGGACTATGAAGTTGGATGAATGGGAGAGAATTGGAAGAGATTTTTTAAAAGGCATATAAAGATGGAGCAGAAATTCTAGTTTCTGTATGGTCAGTGTGGGCACTAATAAAGGCAGCCCTTGAGCCATTTCAAACAGATGATGAGGCAGACTCAGATGAGGAAGAGGAGGATGAGTGTAAAAAACTAACTTCAAATTCTGAGTGTGGGGAGCAGCTACCAGAGGAGATTAAACAAAAGAAAGAAAAACTTTAAAAAGTATGTTTTACTAGCCCGTTGGCTCCACCTGCTGAATTAAGTGAATGGCCACCTCCTCTCTCTCCTCTAAATGGGTGAGAAAATAAATTAGCTGAAAAACTTACTGCTCCTGTAGTTACAACATTAAAACCTGGAGCAATTGGTGGTGGTAGACAAAATTCTATTCAAAAAGCTAAAGCCAAGGGAGACCTTGAAGCATGGCAATTTCCCGTTACTATAATCCAGCAAGTAGGACAGAATATAGCTAATTAGGCTGCTTTCTCTTTTAAGTTACTAAAGAATTTAAGCAAGCCATTAGTCAATATGGACTGAACTCTCTTTTTGTGCAAACTTTATTTAAAAATATGGCTCTTGATAATAGATTACTACCATATAATTAAGATACTTTGACAAAACCTGTTCTCACTCCATCTCAGTACTTGCAGTTTAAAACTTGGTAGGCTGATGAAGCTCAAACTCAGGCAAAAGAAAACACACAAGTGCAGCCACCTGTGCCTGTTTTCTTTGATCAGTTAATATGAGTTGGCCCTAACTGGGGTTGATTAGAGAATCAAGCACTAATGGAAGATGTTGCCATTGTTCAGCTGTGCTTCATGTGCTTACATGCATAGAAAAGGATAAATGTTACCGGGGAAAAGTATCCTTATTTCAGTTCTGTCTGACAAGGACCTAAAGAACCATATATTAATTTTATTGCTCAGCTCCAAGAGGCTGTGTATAAAGCCGTAAATGATCAAAACAGCTCAGGATGTTGTAATACAGCTTCTTGCATACAATAATGCTAATGCAGAGTGTCAAACTGCTATTAGATCCCAGACAGAGAGGGCCCATTTAACTAAATATATTAAGGCTTGCGATGGCATTGGAGATAATTTACATAAGGTTATTCTTTTAGCTCAGGCTGTGGCTAGATTAAGAGTAAGAAAAAATATGTTTCATTTCTCAGGCTCTTGCCTTAATTGTGGGCAAATTGGACACAAGAAAGGAATGTAGAAAGGAATTCAAAAGATGAAAACTACTACCATCAATCAACAGAAAAGTCCCAATGTACGTCCCTGGTGTAAGAAAGGCAATCACTGGGCAAGTCCGTGTCATTCTAAATTTAGCAAAGATGGACAACCTCTTTCAGGAAATAGGAAGAGGGACCCGCCTCAAGCCCCTCAACAAACTGAGGCATACCCAGCACAGCCACTGCCCTTACAAATGTACAGCAATTGTCCCCCGCCTCAGCAAGCAGTGCTGCTGTAGACCTCTACAGCACAATTCCCATCTCCTTACTTCCTGGGGAGCCACCAAAGAAGGTCCCCACAGGAGTTAGGGCACCCTTACCCTGAGGAACTGTTGGGAACAAGCCTCCCCAAATCCGGCCATAAACTGACCCCAAAACTGGCCATAAACAAAATCTCTGCAGCACTGTGACATGTTCATGATGGCCATAACACCCACGCTGGAAGGTTGTGGGTTTACTGGAATGAGAACAAGGAATACCTGTCCCGTCCAGGGTGGAAAACCACTTAAAGGCATTCTTAAGCCACAAACAATAGCATGAGTGATCTGTGCCTTAAGAATAAGGGATACTTATAGTTAATCTAATATCTATAGAAACAATGCTAATGACTGGCTTGCTGTTAATAAATACGTGGGCAAATCTCTGTTCAGGGCTCTGCTCTGAAGGCTGTAAGACAACCCCCCCGATTTCCCACTTCACACCTCTATATTTCTGTGTGTGTGTCTTTAATTCCTCTAGTGCTGCTGGGTTAGGGTCTCTCCAACCGACCTGGTCTCAGCAAGTGGTGCCCATTCATGGGGGCTCAAATACTGGTCAAAGGATCGCTGGAGCAACGATTGGAGAATGTGGAACTAGCTGGAGGACACCCGAGTACTCTTAAAGCAATCCTCGTGGTGAGTAAGAAGGGGAGCTCAGAAGCATCAGGGTAGCAATAGGACAAGTGTGGGCTGTGGTTCGTTCTACCTTGGAACTTTTTCACACTGATGATGAGGAGGAAGGAGAGTATAACAAAGTAACAGCAGAGGTTACAGACCAGGTTTATTTGTCACCTAAAGCTAAAGCAGAAAAGGAGGGAGAGGTTCATCCCTATTCTTCTGCACACCCTCATTACTATTTTGAAGAAAGCGACCCTCCAGATCTTTCTTTTCTGGAGGACACTGGGTGAAAAGTAGTTGCCCTGGTGACTGTTCGAGCAGCGCCTTGAGCGACTGCTCTTAGTTCTATTCAGGCAGGAATACAGCAAGCTAGATAAAAGTGGGATTTAGAGGCTTGGCAGTTCCCTGTTTGAATACACCCCCCAGATCAACAGGGAAATATTATAGCTACATTTGAGCCTTTTCCTTTTAAATTACTCAAAAAAATTAAACAAGCTATAAATCAGTATGGACCAGGTTCTCCTTTTGAAATGGGACTGTTAAAGAATGTTGCTGTTTCCAGTCGGATGATTCCTACTGACTGGGACACTTTTACTCTAGCTTGTCTAACTCCTGCTCAGTTCTTACAATTTAAAACTTAGTAGGCAGATGAAGCTTCCATTCAGGCTGCTCGCAATGCCTGGGCCCAACCTCAAATTAATATAACTACAGACCAACTTTTGGGGGTTGGTGGCAGGGCTGGTTTACATGAACAAGTGGTCATGCAGGATGATGCCATAGAACAGCTTAGAGGAGTGTGCATTAGAGCTTGGAATAAATCACTTCATGTGGAGAACAATACCCTTCCTTTAGTGCTATAAAACAGGGACCAAGAGAACCATATGTGGATTTTATAGCTTGGTTACAGGAGTCTCTTAAAAAGATGATTGCAGATTTGGCTGCTTAGGATATAGTGTTGCAGTTATTGGTTTTGACAATGCTAATCCTTATTGCCAGGCTGCTCTGCGACCTATCAGAGGGAAAGCACATTTAGTTGATTATAACAAGGCCTGTGATGATATCAGAGATAATCTACATAAAGCTACTTTGTTGGCACAGGCGATGGCAGGACTGAGAGTGGGTAAAGGAAATACTCTATTTCCTGGAGCTTGTTTTAACTGTGGGAAGCATGGTCATACTAAAAAGAATGTTAAAAAAAAAAAAAATCACCGAGTCAGGCCACCAGATAGGGGAAAAAACAAAACTGCTGATCCTGAAATATGTCCAAAATGTAAAAAAGAAAACTTTGGGCTAATCAGTGTCACTCTAAGTTTGATAAAGAAGGGAACCCGATTTTGGGAAACTCCCTGAGGGGCCCATCCCAGGCCCTGTTCTAAACCAGGGCATTTCCATCTCAGGCCATTCCCTCACCCCCATACGTTATCTTTCCCCACCACAGCCCATAGTGCTGCAGTAGATCTATGCTGCACAAAAGCTGTGAGCCTTCTGCCTGGGGAACCCCCGCCAAAGGTCCCAACAGGAGTCTGTGGACCGTTGCCAGGAGGGACAATGGGATTACTTTTAGGAAGGTCTAGTTTAAGTTTAAAAGGGGTACAAATACACACTGGAGTCATTGATTCAGATTACAATGAGGAAATTCAAATTGTGATATTTAGTTCTGTTCCCTGGAAAGCACAGCCAGGAGTGTGCCTTAGCACAGCTCCTGAGTGAGCCATATGTGGGAATGGGAAAAAGTGAAATTAAATGAACTGGAGGATTTGGAAGCACAAATAAAAAAGGCAAGGCAGCTTATTGGGTAAATCAAATTACTGATAAACATCCTACCTGTGAAATAACTATCCAGGGAAAGAACTTTAAAGGTTTGGTAGATACTTTTTTTTTTTTTTTTTTTGGTAGGAGTGGACATTTCAATTATTTCTCTACAGCACTGGCCGTCCACGTGGCCAATTCAACCCACTCAATTTAACACAGTGGAAACTGCTAAAGCTCCAGAAGTTTATCAGAGTAGCTATACTTTGCATTGTGAAGGGCCCAATGGACAACCTGGGACTGTTCAACCAATTGTAACTCCTGTACCTATAAATTTATGGGGGAGAGATTTATTATGACAATGGGGAGCACAAGTTCTAATTCCATAACAATTATACAGCCCTCAAAGTCAACATATGATGCACGAAATGGGGCATGTCCCTGGTATAGGAGTAGAAAAAAAATTGCAAGGTTTGAAAGAACTGCTTCAAACGGAAAGACAAAGTTCCTGCCAAAGATTAGGATACAATTTTTGATGGTGGCCATAGTTAAGCCTCCAGAACCTATACCTTTAAAATGGTTAACAGATAAGCCAATTTGGATAGAATAATGGCTGCTAAGCAAAGGGAAACTGGATGCTTTAGAGAAATTAGTTACTGAACAATTAGAAAATGGGCACATAGCTCCAACATTTTCCCCTTGGAATTCTCCAGTTTTCATAATTAAGAAAAAATCAGGTAAATGGAGAATGTTAACTGACTTAAGAGCCATCAATTCAGTTATACAACCTATGGAAATATAACAGCCAGGATTCCCTTCTCTACTATAATTCCAAAAAATTGGCCTTTAATAGTCACAGATTTAAAAGACTGTTTCTTTACTACCCTTTTAGCTGAGCAAGACTGTGAACGGTTTGCATTTACAATTCCTGCAGTAAACAACCTGCAGCCTGCTAAGCGTTTTCATTGTTTCACAGATGGGTCTAGTAATGGTAAAGGTTCTTATTCTGGATCAAAAGCTAAAGTTTTCCAGACACCCTATACTTCAGCTCAAAAGGCAGAGCTTGTAGCTGTAATTGAGGTGTTGACTGCTTTTGATATGCCTGTTAATGTGATTTCTGATTCTTCATACATGGGTCATTCCACACAGTTAATTGAAAATGCTCAGTTAAGATTTCATACAGATGAACAACTGATAATAAAAAACAAAAAAGGGGGAGAAACAGGGATTACGGGATAGCCCATACACAATTGAATCTTGCATTAACTTTCAAATTTTTGAGCCTGCCCAAAGGCCAGATGTTACCAGAAGCTGAACAGCATCTACAGAAACCAGCTGCAAAGACAGAAGCAGACCAACTGGTTTGGTGGAGAGATCAAATAACAAAAAGTTGGGAAATAGGTAAAATTATAACTTGGCATAGAGGTTATGCTTCTGTTTCTCCAGGACCGAATCAACAACTGATTTAGATACCATCAAGACACCTGAAATTTTATCATGAGCCAGATGCTGAGGAAGAGAGAAAAAGCACAATCATCATTGAAATTAGAGCTTCTGGCTGGGAGCGGTGGCTCACGCCTGTAATCCCAGCACTCTGGAAGGCCGAGGAGGGCGGATCACAAGGTCAGGAGATAGAGACCATCCTGGCTAACACGGCAAAACCCCGTCTCTACTAAAAATACAAAAGATTAGCTGGGTGAGGTGGCGGGCGCCTATAGTCCCAGCTACTCAGGAGGCTGAGGCAGGATAATGGCGTGAACCCGGGAGGCAAAACTTCAGGTTTTGCCAAGAATGACACTGTAAATGTAACAAAGCTTCTGTGCTTGTTAGTGAACAACAAATCAGCTACTCTTCTGTATTCGGAGATCAGGATGAAATGAAAAGAACAAGCAGGCCGGGCACGGTGGCTCATGCCTGTAATGTCAACACTTTGGGAGGTTTAGGTGTGCGGATCACCCGAGGTTGGGAGTTCGAGACCAGCCTGACCAACATGGAGAAACCCCGTCTCTACTAAAAATGCAAAATGAGCTGGGCGTGGTGGCACAAGCCTGTAATCCCAGCTTGGGAGGCTGAGGCAGGATAAGTGCTTAAACCTGAGAGGCGGAGGTTGCGGTGAGGCAATATTGCAAAATTGCACTCCAGCCTGGGCAACAAGAGTGAAACTCCATCTCAAAAAAATAAAAAATAAAAAAAGACCCCCAACCTTGTCTAGACTGTGGGGTTTCAGTTTCACCCCAGGGGGGTCCTGGTTGGGTTAGAACCCTGAATCTGGTTTGAGTTCGTATCCTAAAGAATAAAGGGAATAAAGGCTGTAGCCACTAAGCTACTCAATCTGGTCCGGTTCTGGCTTTTGTGTGTCTGTCTGTATTTTTGGTCTAAATATTTGGCCCAACAGAGGTTAAAGGCTTTGATGTTCTCAGCAAAAGCCTTGAGATCTCTAGTTTATCTGTGTGCTCAACTGGAACAAAGAGACTCCATAAACTAGAAAAACCTAAAGAAAATGGCACGCGTGAAAAAATGAGAGCCAACTCCTGTTTGTTGTTCTGTCCACCTCCCTCTCTCACTCCTCCTTCTGCCTTTGCTGTGGTCCCATGGTGTTTCTGTCTTTCTGGGGACCTGAGATTCAGTGTAGGAGTGAAGTCCATGATTTTAAAGCCTTCATGTCTCTGCTTTTTAACTCTGCCTGCTTTGCTGAGCTCTTATAATGAGAAATAAACCATTCAGAACAGAAACAACAGGGCATCAGAAAACCAACTTCAGGCAGCGCTCCGGCAAGTACCTCCCTAGAGGGGAAGGGCCTACTAAAGGAGATTTAATCTTGAAAAGGCCAAAATGAGAAGCTCTAACCTTAAGCTTGCTAGGTTTTCTAGGACTCGAGCTGGCTATATATTATGGACCATTCTAGCCACACACATACACACACACACACACACACACACATTTTTTTGAGACAGAGTCTTGCTCTGTTGCCCATGCTGGAGTGCAGTGGTGTGATCTTGGCTCACTGCAACCTCCACTTCCCAGGTTCAAGCAATTCTCCTGTCTCAGCCTCCTGAGTAGCTGCGATTACAGGTGTGCGCCACCATACCCGGCTAATTTTTGTGGTTTTAGTAGAGATGAAGTTTCACCATGTTGGCCAGGCTGCTCTCTAACTCCTGATCTCAAGTGATCCACCCGCCTTGGCCTCCCAAACTGCTGGGATTACAGGCATGAGCCACTGTGCCCAGCCTATACATATATATATACTTTTTTTTTCCTTTTTCTTTTTGACACAGAGTCTTGCTCTGTTGCCCAGGATGGAGTATGGTGGTACAATCGCAGCTCACTGCAACCTCCGCCTCCCAGGTTTGAGCAATTATCCTGCCTCAGCCTTCTGAATAGCTGGGACTACAGATGCACACTACCACACCCAGTTAATTTTTGTATATTCAGTAGAGATGGGGTTTTGTCACATTGGCCAGGCTGGTCTCAAACTCCTGGCCTCAAGTGATCCACCTGCCTCAGCCTCCGATAGTGTTGGGATTACACGCATGAGCCACTGCACCTGACCTCTAGTGCACACTTTAAACCTGATGGCCAAATTACATGAAAGAAAATTCAGAACTCAAATAGTTACTATTTTTAAAAACCCTAAAGTGAAAAAGTCTCAGTTCTTTTGCCTATCTATTTTTTTTTCCCTGCCTACTTTGAATCTGCTGATTTGTCTACTGGTGTTGAGATAAGACTTACTGTCTGTGGTGTTACTAATTCAAGGTCACTTGGCTGAAGAAAAACAAAAGAATGAAACAATTCTTTATTTTTTTCTCTTTTTGAGACAAGGTCTCACTCTAAGGTCTCACTCTGTTCCCCAGACTGGAGTGCAGTAGTGGGATCGTAGCTCACTGTTATCTCAACCTCCCAGGCTCAAGCAATCCTCCTGCCTCATCCTCTCTAGTAGCTGGGACAATAGGCATGCACCACCATGCCTGGCAATTTTTTATCTTATTCTTAGTAGAGATTGGGTCTCACTATGTTGCCCAGGCTGGTCTCAAACTCCTGAGCTCAAATGATCCTCTTGCCTCAGCCTCTCAAAGTGCTGGGATACAGGCATGAACCACTGTGCCCAGACAAAAGAGTTCTTTTATAAATACAAATAATTTAAAAAGTATTGATAAAATAAAAATAGAAAATAGAAATCTCTTCAGACTTGTCAGCATACATTTTTGACTGTGTTTTATATTTACATTTGCTAGATATTTTAAGGTGCTAGGGTTTGGCATGAAGGTTATAAAGCTATAAACACAGGAAAAAAGAATATTTGTTTATGTGATTTTTTAAATACATAAGACCAATTTAATATGGTTTGTTGAACAAAAATAATGGAATTTTCTGAGTTATTGGTAAAATACCCATGTATTTAACTTTGAAGTCCTCACTTACGTGAACACCTGATATTCACAGGCTATAACATGGTTAACAAGAAAATAACCTAGAAATGATGACTAGCTTTGTCTAATACCTCAGTTCTCACAAATACTCTAGATAAACTGTCAAAAATAAGTAAATGTAAATGGATAAATGTCTATACAAGACATCTTAATGTATTTTTGAAATTTTTTTGAGACAGTGTCTCTGTCTGTCACCCACGCTGAAGTGCAGTGGCATGATCACAGCTCACTGCAACCTTGACCTTCTGCTCTCAAGGGATCCTCCCACCTCAGCCTCCCATGTAGCTGTTAATTACAGGCATACACCACCGTGGTCAGCTAACTTTTATTTTTTTTGTAGAGTCAGCATCTCACTATTTTGCTCAGGCTGGTTTCATGATACTGCTGCCTAGGCCTCCTAAAGTGTTGGGATTACAGGTGTGAGCCACCATGCCCAGCCTATTTTTGAAATTTTAGTTATGTTAAATTAAATAATAGATACTCATTAAATATCTGGGTTATTTCCAATTTAAAACTTATGTTTTAGCCCAGGCACTGTGGCTCACGCCTGTAATCCCTGCACTTTGGGAGGCCAAGGTGGGTGGCTCACCCGAGGTCAGGAGCTCAAGACCAGCCTGATCAACATGGTGAAACCCCATCTCTACTAAAAAATACAAAAAATTAGCCAGGTGTGGTGGTGGGTTCCTGTAATCCCAGCTACTCGGGAGGCTGAGGCAGGAGAATTACTTGAACCTGGGGGGCGGAGATTGCAGTGAGCTGAGATCACACCATTGCACTCCAGCCTGGGCAACAAGAGCAAAAATCCATCTTAAAAAATATGTTTTAGGAACACACAATTCTAAATTATGAAATTATTCTCATATGTAAGATACTGCTATATGACAATTCCAGATTTCTTGCTTCCTAGGTTTTTTATTAAAATAAGGGTTACTAAGTGTTAATATCTTGCTAGATATGTGTGATTAAGACTACTAGATACAAGAGAAACAATTCTGTATGCAAAATGTATACCGGTTTTTGTTTCAGAGAAAGTAAATTCACTTAGAGATTTTTAAGGATTAATTTAAATTGAAGGAATAAAAAAGATAGATAAAACTACATGTGTATAAAAAGTTGGGAAAGATGAAAAAATTATACAAGGTTATTAAAAGTTTATGTAAATCTTACATCGAGGCCAAAACTGATTGAGATCAGATAGATTGTTTATAAAGTTTATTTAAATTAGCTATAATATTAAAAACAGTGATAAAAAACTAAAAATTTTGGTTAAAACAACAAGGTTTTCTTAATGTATTTATTTGCTCATAATAAGAGGTAATAAATATTGACTTTTAATCCTGAAATCTGTTACTATAAAATCTTTTCAGATTTGTATATCAGAAGTTCAACTTCTCCTGTACTTTCATGTTACACATGACTCACAGATCACATCACTGTCTCCTGTTCCTTCTTGAGAAGGAATAAAAGGCTTGGGTTTCCTGCTTGGCTGGGATGATAACTCCTTCAGCTTTTTCATCAGGTCTAATTTTATACTCTTGGCTTTTAAATATGTCTTAATTACTTCATGTAACCAGGAAACTTTCTTGCTATCATTGTGAGCTATGGATCCCCACTGCTCTATGCTCTGGTTTTCCTGTTGACATTCCTTTGTAATATTATGCTCACTCATGACCCTGGACAAACTCTTTCTATGTCTAATTAAATTCAAGTCTCCTTGTCATCGGAATTGACTTCCAAGTGATTTAAATTAGCTTCCCGTAAGAAGACACAGTTATGCCACAGGAGTTTTACCCTTTAAATGACTGGCCTGTAATAAAGATTTTAGGTTTTATCAAGATAATCCATGTGTTGCCTTTATTTTTTTTTAATTACTTGGGAAAACTGAGGGTTTTCAGTTATCACATCCATGTAACCTTCTACGTTGCTTTTGATGTCTTTTGGTTGTCATGCTAATTAAATGAATGACTGTTATTTAAAAATGACATGTGGCTGTGTGCAGCGGCTCATGTCTGTAATTCCTGCCCTTTGGGAGGCCAAGGTGGGTGGATCACTTGAGCCCAGGAGTTCAAGTCCAGCCTGGGCAAAATGGCAAAACCGCATCTCTACTGAAAATACAAAAGCTAGCTATGTGTCGTAACAAGTGCTCATAGTCCTGGCTACTTGGGATACTAAGGTGGAGGATCACCTGAGCCTGGGAGGTTGAGGCTGCAGTGAGCCATGATTTCACCACTGCACTCCAGCCTGGGCAACAGGGTGAGACCCTGTCTCAAAAAAATAATAAAATAAAAAACAATAAACTGTCATTCTGTTTTGGTCAAATGTTTTCAATTTTTTGACATCTTTGCTAAATCTTAGTTGATAACATTGTATGGGAAGCAGTGCCAAAAGATAAGTAACACTAAATCTTCTTTTTTTTTTCTCTGAGACAGAATCTTGCTTTGTCACCCAGGCTGGAGTGCAGTGGCGTGATCTAGGTCCATTGCAACCTCTGCCCCAAGGTTCAAGCGATTCTCCTGCCTCAACCTCCCAAGTAGCTGAGACTACAGACACATGCCACCACGCCCGGCTAATTTTGTATTTTTAGTAGAAACAAGAGTTCTCCATGTTGGCCAGGCTGGTGTCAAACTCCTGACCTCTGATGATCTGTCCAACTTGGCCTCCCAAAGTGTTGGGATTACAGACATGAGCCACTGTGCCTGGCCTAAATCTTCTTTTGGTTACATTTATAGGTATATTATTAATATACATATTTTAAATGTTATATAAATTATAAAAATCTAATATGGTATCAGTCATAATTTTGATGATGTTAAATATTCTCTATAGTTGTATATGTATAGATATATTATTAATATAAATATTCTAAAGATTATATAAAATTTGTGGAAGTCTGATGGATCTGATGTGTTGCCGTCAGTCATGATTCTGGCTGTTATCTTAAAATGCTACATATAATAGAAATAACTAAATTTTCTCGCAGGTCGAGAACTTCCACTGGATTTTAACCAAAGGATATTCTAAGTTTTTGTCATCCACGGTGATTGATTAAAGTTCTTCTCTAAAACCCTTTACAGGCCGGGCGTGCTGCTGGAGGCTGTGCAGGGCACGGTGCTGGGCGTGGTGCAGGGCACGGTGGCTCACACGTGTAAAAATCAAAACACTTTGCAAGGCCGAGGTGGGTGACTTGCTTGAACTAAGAAGTTTGAAAGCATCCTGGGCAACATGGTAAAACCCTGTCTCTACAAAAATACAAAAATTAGCCAGCATGATGGTGCATGCCTATGGTCCCAACTACTTCGGAGGCTGAGGTAGGAGGATGGCTTGAGTTTGGGAGGGAGAAATTGTGGTGAGCCAAGATCATGCCACAACACTCCATCCTGAGTGATAGAACCAGACCATGTCTCAAAAAAAAAAAAAAAAGCCTTTACAATCAGCTATCATCTAAATTACTTTTAATGGAAAGGACTCTGACAAGTTCTCTTAAATATGGTTTCAGATAACTTTGGGGATCATACCATTGGACTAGGAAAATCTTCCAGGACTCTAAAAAGCTGAATGAGGATTTCCAATTGAAATCAAGCAAAACACAAAAAACTGAATGAGAATTGCTATTTGAAATCAAGCAGAACAAGATTTAGTTACATTGGACTGAACTTATAAAAGAAGGAAAAGATTTTATTCATGGCCCTTCCATTGGAAACATTGTTGATTCTCTTTATGTTTTGTTTTCCAAAGTCAAGAATTTTTTTTCTTTTCAGCTATTTTTAACTTACCCTACGTTAGAAAAACTACATTGTGAACAAAAATTTGAGCCATTTATCTGTCTCTCTAACTGATTTCTCCAGAATTCAGAAGCCATTCGTGAGCATTCCTAAATTATGGCAATATAATTATTTGCATAATTTCAATAAGAATCTGTTTTTGGTAACAGGATTCAATTGGAGACACTGTTTGTTTTATCAAGGCTTTAACTCGAACGGCAGATACAACCAGACCACTTTAAGGAATTGAGCTTGACTTTATAGCACCAATGCAAAGCCCCTTAGAATGACTGGCTTGGTGTCTTGTCTACAAGGGTCCTTTACAAAGTTGCTGTCCTTGTGGTAAGAAGTAAAGAATGTCACTTTCTGACAGGCCCAGGAACCTCAAGTTATTTGGGGACCTTGAGAAGATAGGACTACACCCATTCATAAAAGTATTACAGGAGAGCTGGCAAGATGTCTGAATAGGAACAGCTCCGGTCTGCAGCACCCAGTGGGATCAACACAGAAGGCAGGTGGTTCATGCATTTCCAACTGAGCCTCCACTGGTGATACCCAGGCAAACAGGGTCTGAAGTGGACCTCCAGCAAACTCGAGCAAACCTGCAGCGGAGGGACCTGACTGGTAGAAGGAAAACTAACAAACATAAAGGAATAGTATCAACATCACCAACATCAAAGACCAAAGGTAGATAAATCCACAAAGATGGGGAGAAACTAGTGCAAAAAGGCTGAAAACTCCAAAAGCCAGAATGCCTCTTCTCCTCCAGAAGATCACAACTCCCCACCAGCAAGGGAACAAAACTGGACAGACAATGAGTTTGATGGATTGACAGAAGTAGGCTTCAGAAGGCGGGTAATAACAAACTCCTCCAAGCTAAAGGAGGGTGTTCTAACCCAATGCAAGGAAGCTAAGAGCCTGAAAAAAAAAGGTAGGACGAATTGTTAACTAGAATAACCAGTTTAGAGAAGAATATAAATGACCTGATGGAGCTGAAAAACCCAGCACAAGAACTTCATGAAGCATACACAAGTATCAATAGCTGAATCAATCAAGCAGGAGAAAGAATATCAGAGATTGAAGATCAACTCAATGAAATAAAGCAAGAAGAAAAGATTCGAGAAAAAAGAGTGAAAGAAATGAAAAAAGCCTCCAAGAAATAGAGGAATATGTTAAAACACTGAATCTATGTTTGATTCGTGTACCTGAAAGTGACAGAGAGAATGGAACCAAGTTGGAAAACACTCTCAAGGATATTATCCAGGAGAACTTCCCCAACCTAGCAAGACAGGCCAACATTCAAATTCAGGAAATACAGAGAACACCACTAAGATATTCCTCAAGAAGAGCAACCCCAAGACATAAAATCATCAGATTCACCAAGGTTGAAATGAAGGAAAAAATATAAAGGGCAGCCAGAGAGAAAGGTTGAGTTACCCACAAAGGGAAGCCCATCAGACTAACATTGGATCTCTTGGCAGAAAGCCTACAAGCCAGAAGAGAGTGGGGGCCAATATACAACATTCCTAAAGAAAAGAATTTTCAAGCCAGAATTTCATATCCAGGCAAACTAAGCTTCATAATTGAAGTAGAAATAAAATCCTTTACAAGCAAATGCTGAGAGATATTGTCACCACCAGGCCTGCCTTACAAGAGCTCCTGAAGGAAGCACTAAACATGGAAAGGAACAACTGGTAACAGCCACTGCAAAAACATAACAAATTATAAAGACCATTGACACTATGAAAAATCTGCATCAACTAATGAGCAAAATAACCAGCTAGTATCATAATGACAGGATCAAATTCATACATAACAATATTAACCTTAAATGTAAATGAGCTAAATGCCCCCAATTGAAAGACACAGACTGGCAAATTGGAAAAAGAGTCAAGACCCATCAATGTGCTGTACTCAGGAGACCCATCTCATACACATAGGCTCAAAATAAAGGGATGGAGGAACATTTACCAAGCAAGTGGAAAGCAACAAAAGGCAGGGGTTGCAATCCTAGTTTCAGATAAAACAGATCTTAAGCCAACAGAGATCAAAAGAGACAAAGAAGGGCACTACATAATGGTAAAGGGATCAATGCAACAAGAAGTGCTAACTATCCTAGACATATATGCACCCAATACAGGAGCACTCAGATTCATAAAGCAAGTTCTTAAAGACCTACAGAGAGACTTAGACTCCCACACAATAATAGTGGGAGACTTTAACACTCTACTGTCAATATTAGATCAATGAGACAGAAAATTAACAAGAATATCCAGGACTTGAACTCAGTTCTGGACCAAGTGGACCTAAAAGATATCTACAGAACTCTCCACCCCAAATCAATAGAATATACCTTCTTCTGAGCACCACATTGCACTTATTCTAAAATTGACCACATAATTGGAAGTAAAACTCTCCTCAGGAAATGCAAAAGAATGGAAATCATAACAAACAGTCTCTCAGACCGCAATGCATTCAAATTAGTATGCAGGATTAAGAAACTCACTCAAAACCTCACAACTACATGGAAACTGGGTAACCTGATCCTGAATGACTACTGGGTAAATAAAGAATTGAAGGCAGAAATAAAAATGTTCTTCGAAACCAATGAGAACAAAGACACAACGTCCCAGAATCTCTGGGACACATTTAAAGCAGTGTGTAGAGGGAAATTTATAGCACTAAATGTCCACAAGAGAAAGCAGGAAAGATCTAAAATTGACACCTTAACATGAAAATTAAAAGAACTAGAGAAGCAAGAACAAACAAATTCAAAAGCTAGCAGAAGACAAGACACAAATAAGATCAGAGCATAATTGAAGGAGATAGAGACATGAAAAACCCTTCAAAAAATCAATGAATCCAGGAGCTGGTTTTTTGAAAAGATCAACAAATCAGACCACTAGCCAGACTAATAAAGAAGAAAAGAGAGAAGAATCAAATAGATGCAATAAAACATGATTAAGGGGATATCACCACTGATCCCACAGAAATACAAATTATCATCAGAGAATACTACCAAGACTAAACCAGGAAGAAGTGAAATTCCTGAATAGACCAATAACAAGTTCTGAAATTGAGGCATTAATTATAGCCTACCAACCAAAAAAATTCCAGGACCAGATGGATTCACAGCCGAATTCTACTAGAGGTACAAAGAGGAGCTGGTACCATTCCTTCTGAAACTATTCCAAACAATAGAAAAAGAGAGAATCCTCCCTAACTCATTTTATGAGGTCAGCATCAACTTGATACCAAAACCTCGCAGGGACACAACAAGAAAAGAAAACTTTAGACCAATATCCCTGATGAACATTGATGCAGAAATCCTGAATAAAATACTGGAAAACTGAATCCAGCAGCACATCAAAAAGCTTGTCCACCATGATCAAGTCGGCTTCACCCCTGGGATGCAAGGGTGGTTCAACATATGCAAATCAATAAATGTAATCCATCACATAAAGGGAACCAATGACAAAAACTGCATGATTATCTCAATAGATGCAGAAAGGGCCTTTGACAAAATTCAACAACTTTTCATGCTAAAAACTCTCAATAAACTGGTATTGATGGAACGTATCTCAAAATAATAAGTGCTATTTATGACAAACCCACAGCCAGTAACATACTGAATGTGCAAAAACTGGAAGCATTCCCTTTCAAAATCAGCACAAGACAAGGATACCCTCTCTCACTACTCCTATTCAACATAGTATTGGAAGTTCTGGCCAGGGCAATCAGGCAAGAGAAAGAAATAAAGGGTATTCAATTAGGAAAAGAGGAAGTCAAATGGTCTCTCTTTGCAGATGACATGATTGTATATTTAGAAAACCCCATCATCTCAGCCCAAAATCTCCTTAAGCTGATAAGCAACTTCAGCAAAGTTTCAGGATACAAAATCAATGTGCAAAAATCACAAGCATTCCTATACAGCAATAACAGACAAACAGAGAGCCAAACTGTGAGTGAACTCCCATTCACCATTGCTATAAAAAGAATGAAATACCTAGGAATACAACTTACAAGGATGTGAAGGACCTCTTCAAGGAGAACTACAAACCACTCCTCAAGGAAATAAGAGAGGACACAAACAAATGGAAAATCATTCCATGCTCATAGATAAGAAGAATCAGTATCGTGAAAGTGACCTACTGCCCAAAGTAATTTATAGATTCACTGCTATCCCCATTAAACTGCCATTGACTTTCTCCACGGAATTGGAAAAATATACTTTAAATTTCATATGGAATCAAAAAAGAGCCCGAATAGCCAAGACAACCCTAACCAAAAAGAACAAAGCTGGAAGCATCATGCCACCTGACTTCAAACTATATTACAAGCTATGGCAACCAAAACAGCATGGTACTGGTACGAAAACAGATATATAGATCAAAGGAACAGAACAGAGGCCTCAAAAATAGCACCACACATCTACAACCATCTGATCTTTGACAAACCTGAGAAAAACGAGCACTGGGGAAAGGATTCCCTATTTAATAAATGGTGTTGGGAAAACTGGCTAGCCATAGGCAGAAAGCTGAAACTGGATCCCTTCCTTACACCTTATACAAAAATTAACTCAAGATGGGTTAAAGACTTAAACAAAAGACCTAAAGCCATAAAAACCGTAGAGGAAAACCTAGGCAATACCATTCAGGACATAGGCATGGGCAAAGACTTCATGACTAAAACACCAAAAACAAAGGCAACAAAAGCCAAAATTGACAAATGGGACCTAATTAAACTAAAAAGTTTCTGGACAGCAAAAGAAACTATCAGAGTGAACGGGCAACCTACAAAATGGGAGAAAATTTTTGCAGTCTATCCATCTGACAAAGGGCTAATATCCAGAATCTACAAAGAACTTAAACAAATTTGCAAGATAAAACAACCCCATTGAAAAGTGGGCAAAGGATGTGAACAGACACTTCTCAAAAGAGGACAATTATGCAACCAACAAACTTATAAAAAAGCTCATCATCACTAGTCATTAGAGAAATGCAAATCAAAACCACAATGAGATACCATCTCATGCCAGTTAGAATGGCGAAAATTAAAGAGTCAGGAAACAACAAATACTGGAGAGAGTGTGGAGAAATAGGAAGGCTTTTACACTGTTGGTGGGAGTGTAAACTAGTTCAACCATTGTGGAAGACAGTGTGGCTATTCCTCAAGGATCTAGAGCTAGAAATACCGTTTGGCCCAGCAATCCCATTACTGAGTATATACCCAAAGGATTATAAATCATTCTACTATAAAGACACATGCACATGTATGTTTATTGCAGGACTGTTCACAATAATAAAGACTTGGAACCAACCCAAATGCCCATCAATGATAGATTGAATAAAGAAAATGTGGCACATATACACCATGGAATACTATGCAGCCATAAAAAACGATGAGTTCATGTCCTTTGCAGGGACATGGAAGAAGCTGGAAACCATCATTCTCAGCAAACTAACACAAGAACAGAAAACCAAACACCACATGTTCTCACTCATAAGTGGGAGTTGAACAATGAGAACACATGGACACAGGGAGGGGAACATCACACACTGGGGCCTGTTGGGGGGTGGGGGCAGGGAGAGGAATAGCATTAGGAGAAATGCCTAATATAGGAGATGGGTTGATGGGTGCAGCAAACCACCACAGAATATATATACCTATGTAACAAACCTGCACGTTCTGCACATGTACCCCAGAACTTAAAGTATAATTTTAAAAAGTAGGTTAAAAAAGTATTACAGACACAGTCTGATGCAAATCTTTGACTTGGCTAGCTTCAAGGCTCTTAAAAGTCTCAGATTCCTTATTAAAAATTTCCAACAAAGCCAATTTTAAGAAGCCTATATGGCCAATAAATATTCTTGCTGCCCTTTATGGAAATAATCAGGCCCGGTATGATAAGACTAAAACTTATTTTGCATACAAAATTGGTCCTACTATGATTTGTCTTTGAAAAAATGATGGACTAGAGAGAAAATTTATGTTCCAAAAGAAAACTATGACATATGCTATTAGATTCCAACCCTGATCATTGTTTTAGAGTTTTTATTATTTGCCTATAATTTGGGCTGAATCCTGAATTATTTCCTGGCTCCAAGTGTTCCCTAGTGAATCTGAATATAATATATTTTTTAAAACTTGTTTTATCCTGTCAGGAATGAGATGTATTTTTGAAGGACTACTTAAACTAGCAATTACAATTCAATTATTATGATTATAGAATCTCGGGATTTCTCTTCCTTCTTGTCAAGGTCTTTACCTGATGTTTGTCTCATTAAAAAAAAAAAATGAGACTGATTACACTCTACTCAAGACTGAAGACATGTACTTTAACCTGTCTCTGTTACCAGTAAACCAAACCCTTAACTTTCAGAGTCTGTCAGGGACCCTGTGTGGTCCCTGGATCAACCACCCATGGGCTTATGAATGTGTTGACCGCTGGCATATGAGAAGTAATTGTCTATTAGGTTATGTGACTCTTCCTCTTTCTATTTATAACTCCAATGTTTCTGAACACTGAAGTAGTTCATCGAAATTACTTTCCAGGATTAGACAAACCATACCTGCAAACCAAGGAGGTGAATTTTGGCCAATGTTTGGCAGAAGTCACTTGCAATGGTGGGGAGTAACCTCTCATGAATGTATAATTAGAAATCTGTCAACCACTCTAGGTAAATTAGCGAATGAACTAGCTGAAGCCATAGCTACCAAACAAAGATCTTTAGACTCTTTAGCCAGGATAGTCATGGATGACGGAATAACTTTAGGCTGCATAGTGGTGAAACACGGAGAAATTCATATGGCAGCTAGCTAACACATTATGTTGTGTTTAGATCCATGCATCTTCTGAAGTTGAAACAAATGTAAAAAAATAAGACAATATGATAATTAATTATGACAAATCCTAGGGAAGAGGCTGAAAGAGCTGTAACACAAACAGGGCTGAGTCATGCCCCTTGCTTGCCACATTGTGGGCAAAGAGAAGGAAACAAGAGCTGTGACGCTTTGGGAAGCCCAGACCTGGGAGCTCCCCGAGCCAGAGCTGTGATTCCCTCTTTGGGGCCCTGTGGTTCCTGGTATCTCCAAGCTTCCAGGTGCCACTGTGTTCCCAGTGTGCCAGCTGCGGAAGCTGCTTGCGGTGCCCGTGGTCCAGCCACAGATTTGTGGAGAGCTGGCACCCATGTTGGCACCTGGAGCTACCTGCCCCACTGCAGCAGCCAGGAAGTCTGGCTGCACAGTGGCCAGACCCCATGCTTGCTCACACACCCCTTGCCACTCCACGCAGTCTCCCTTGGCAAACATGGGATCCAACCTGGTAGCATGAGCTGAGCACAGCCAGCCAGGCTGAGTGGGCGGGGCCCAAGCAAAACTCAGGTAAAGGTGCCACCAGCCATAGAGGTTTCTGTCCAGAAAAGTGACACTCCAAAGATCCCGTAACACCACTACTCTTCCCAGCCTCTGGAAACTCTCAGTCTACTCTCCATCTTGATGAGTTCAATTGTTTTAATTTTTAGCTCCCACAAATGTGTGAGAACATGCAAAGTCTTTCTGTGCCTGGCTCATTGTACTTAACATAATGTTCCCTAGTTCCATCCACGTTGTTGCAAGTGACAGAATCTTACTCTTTTTCATGGCCGAAGAGTACTCCATTGTGTACATGTACTACATTTTCTTCATCCCTTCATCTGTTGATGCACACTTAGGTTGCTTCCAAATCTTGGCTATTATGAATAGTGCTGAAATAAATATGGGAATGCAGATATCTCTTTCATATACTAATTTTCCCTCCCTTGGGTATATACCCAGCAGTGGGATTGCTGTATCATATGATAGTTCTATTTTTAATTTTTTGAGGGACCTCCATATTGTTCTCCATAGTGAATGTACTAATTTACATTCCCACCAACAGAGTAAGAGGGTTCTCTTTTCCCTACATTCTTGCAAGCATTTGTTATTGCCTGTCTTTTGCATAAAAGCCATTTTAATGGGGGTAAGATGATATCTTATTGTAGTTTTGATTTGAATTTCTCTGATGATCAGTGATATTGAGCATCTTTTCATATACCTATTTGACATTTATATATCTTCTTTTTTGTTTTTGCTCATTTTTTGAGACAGTGTCTCACTCTGTCACCCAGGCTGGAGTGCAGTGGTATAATGATGGCTTACTGTAGTTATGACTACCAGGGTTCAAGCAATCCTCCCACCTCAGCCTCCTGAGTAGCTGGGACCACAGGCATGCATCACCATGCCCAGGTAGGTTTAAAAATTATTTGCTATGTTTTTCAGGTTGGTCTTGAACTCCTGGGCTCAAGTGGTCCAACTGTCTTGGTTCCCCAAAATGCTGGAATTACAGGTGTGAGCCACTGCGCCTGACCTGCATGCCTTCTTTTGAGAAATGTCTGTTCAGATTTTTTGCCCATTTAAATAATTGAATTATTAGTTTTTTTCTTATAGAGTTGTTTGAACTCCTTATATATTCTGGTTATTAATCCCTTGTCAGATATATAGTTTGCAAATATTTTCTTCCATTCTGTGGATTGTCTTTTCACTTTGTCCATTGTTTTCTTTACTATGCAGAAACTTTTGAACTTCATGTGATACCATTTGTTCATTTTTGCTTTGGTTGCCTGAGCTTTTGGAGTATTACTCAAGAAATCTGTGCCCAGAACAATTTCCTGGAGAGTTTCCCTAATGTTTTCTTTCAGTAGTTTCTTGTCCTTGATTTAAGTCTTTAACCCATTTGGATTTGATTTTTGTATATAGCACAAGAGAGGGTTCTAGTTTGATTATTCTGCCAATGACTTTGGGAGGCTGAGGTGGGCAGATCCTGAGAGCAGGATATCAAGAACATCCTGGCTAACACGGTGAAACTCCGTCTCTACTAAAAATACAAAACAAAAAATAGCTGGGCGTGATGGGGGCACTTGTACTCCCAGCTACTTGGGAGGCTGAGGAGGAGAATGGTGTGAACCCGGGAGGTGGAGCTTGCAGTGAGCCCAGATCGCGCCACTGCACTGCAGCCTGAGCAACAGAGCTAGACTCCATCTCAAAAAAAAAAAATTCTGCCAATGAATATCTAGTTTTCCCAGCACGATTTGGTGAAGAGACTGTCCTCTCCCCCATGTATATTCTTGGCACCTTCATTGAAAATGAGTTAGTTGTAAATGTAAGGATTTATTTCTGGGTTCTCTATTCTGTTCCATTGGTCTGTGTCTGTTTTATGACAGTACCATGCTGTTTAGCTTACAATTGCTCTGTAGTATAATTTAACGTCAGGTGATGTGATTCTTCCAGTTTTGTTCTTTCTGCTACGGATGGCTTTGGGTATTCTGGTTCTTTTATGATTTCATATAAATTTTAGGATTTTTTTTCTGTTTCTGTGAAGAATGTTATTAATATTTCAATAGGGATTGCATTGGGTCTGTAGATTGCTTTGTGAAGTATGTGTATTTTAACAATATTTACTCTTCCAATCAATGAACATGGACTATCTTTCCATTTTTTTTTTGGTGTCTTCTTTAATTTTTTTGCATTGGTGTTCTATAGTTTTCATCGTAGAGATCTTTCACTTCTTATGTTACATTTATTCCTAGATATTTTATTTTATTTGTAGCTATTGTAAATGGGATTACGTTCTTGATTTTCTTCTTTAGATTGTTCAGTTTTGACATTTAGAAATGTTACTGATTTTTGCATTTTGATTTTGTATCGTGTGACTCTGAATTTGTTGATCAGTTCTGATAGTTTTTTGGTGGAGTTCTTAGGTTTTTCCAAATATAAGATCAAATCACCTGCAAACAAGAAAACAATAATAATTTTATTTCTTTAAATTTGGATGCCCTTTACTGTTTTTCAATTTTCTTGATTGCTCTAGCTAGGACTTCCAGTACTATGTTGAGTAACATTGTTGGAAGTGGACATTCTTGCCTTGTTCCAGATCTTAGAAGAAAGGCTTTCAGTTTATCTCTGTTCAGGATGATACTGGCTGAGGGTTTGTTGCATATGGTTTTTATTGTGTTGTGGTATGTTCCTTCTAAATCTAGTTTTTTTGGGGGTTTCTTTTTATCACAGGGAAGTTGGATTTTATTAAATGCTTTTCAGCATCAATTGAAATTACCATATGTTTTTTGTCCTTCATTCTGTTGATATGATGTGTCACATTGATTGATTTGCATATGTTGAACCATGTTGGCATCCTTGGGATGAATCCCACTTAGACAAGATGAATGGTCTTTTTCATAGAATGATTTTGGAAATATTACAGACTTCTCTGTTTTTTGGAATAGTTTGAGTAGGATTGATAGTAATTCTTCCTTCAATGTTTGGTAAAATTAATCAGTGAAGCCATTGGATCCAGGCTTTTCTTTGCTAGGAGATGTTTTATTATGGGTTCAATCTCATTTATCCAGTTCTTCTAGGTTTGTGGTTTGGTTGTGTTGTTTTTTTTTTTTTTTTTTTTTGAGATGGAGTCTTGCTCTGTCACCCAGGATGGAGTCTTGCTCTGTCACCCAGGATGGAGCTTGGTACAATCTCAGCTCACTGCAACTTCTGCCTCCCAGGTTCAAGCGATTCTCCTGCCTCAGCCTCTGGAGTAGCTGGGAGTACAGGTGCATGCCACCATGCCTGGCTAATTTTTGTATTTTTAGTAGAGATGGGGTTTCACCATGTTGGCCAGGCTGGTCTTGAACTCCTGATCTCAGGTGATCACCTGCCTTGGCTTCCCAAAGTGTTGGGATTACAGGAATGAACCACGGTACCTGGCCATTACTTGCAGGTTTTTCAATTTATTGGAATATAGTTGGTCATAATAGTTTCTAATGATTACTTGAATTTCTGCAGTATCAGTTGCAGTGTCTCCTTTTTAATCTCTGGTTTTATGTATTTGAGTCTTCTCTCTTTTCTCTTAGTATGGCTAAATGTTTGTTGATTTTGTTGATCTTTTAAAAAAATATTAACTTTTCATTTCATTGATATTTTATATTTTTAAATTTCAATTTCATTTATTTCTGCTCTGATCTTTGTTATGTTTCCTTCTACTAATTTTGGTTTTGGTTTGCTCTTGCTTTTCTAACTATTTAAGATGCATTATTAGGTTGTTTATTTGAAGTTTTTCTACTTTCTTTGATGTAGGTGCTTTTAGCTATAAACTTACTCCTTAGTACTGTTTTTACTGTATCCCATAGGTTTGTTTTTTGTTTTTTTGTTTTTGTTTATTTTTGGAGACGGAGTTTCTCTCTGTTGCCCAGGCTGGAGTGCAGTGGTGCAATCTTGGCTTACTACAAGCTCTGCCTTCTGGGTTCATGCCATTCTCCCGCCTCAGTTGAGTAGCTGGGACTACAGGTGCCCGCCACCATGCCCAGCTAATTTTTGTTTTTTGTATTTTTAGTAGAGACGGGGTTTCACCGTGTTAGCCAGGACGGTCTTGATCTCCTGACCTTGTGATCCACCCGACTCGGCCTCCCAAAGTGCTGGGATTACAGGCATGAGCCACTGCGCCTGGCCTGTATCCCATAGGTTTTGGTTTGACTTTAAAGTTTTTCTCTTCTCAAAAACTCAGTGTCATGTTACTGGCTTCTAGAGCTTTGGGCAGTGAGACCCTTTTACTTGATAACAGTGGTAGCTGGGACAACTTGGTAATGTAAATAAATAAACGGCATCTAGATTGGAAAGGAAGAAGTACAGTTATCTTTATGTACAGATGACATGATCTTGCATTTAGAAAATCATAAGAAATTTACTAAAAAGTGTTAGGACTCATGAACAAATTTTGGAATGTAACACTATATAAGATTGGTATACAAAAATAACTGTATTTCTTTACCAAGAAATCAAGAATCCAAAAATGGAATTACAAAAATAAATCTTGTTACAATATAATTAAAGCTGGGGTAACTTTAACATAAGAAGCTTAAACTTGAACACTAAAAACTACAATGCATGGTTAGTGTTGGAAACACCCAGGTACCATCCCTGAGCCTTCTCTCCTTGGCTCTGAGGATTTTACCTTCACGGGGTGAGGAAAGGGTTTGCATTCTTGGCTTTTACATTATAGTAGGTGGGTTCGGGGTGAGGTATCTGCAAGTCAAATGAGTATTATAATCTCTACTTTTATGTATAGGAGACTGGGGCCCACAAAGAGAGGGAATGACAATCCATATCCTGGAAGGCGAATTGTCAGGCACTGATTTCCCCTATGTAAACCCTGCCAATCATCGTGTATTTAAAGGATCCCCGGATATCTTACCAATAGGTGTTCAAGAGAGAGGCCTGTAATCTAGGCATCTGAGAAAGCAAGGCTAGAGTTTCCAATATTGGAGACAACAGGGCTCTGGGAAGATTAAGGTTGAGTTTTCTGGATCTGCAGAATAGAGTCACTGAGGAGCAATTGCAAGTTCAGAGGAGATGAAAGAACAAGTCAGGGCATGCTTAGGAAAAGAGAAAACCAGGGATAGATTTTAGGCAAGAGTCACACTGAGGAAGGGCAGGTTCTTGGCGTCGCTCAGGAAGGAATCCAAAAGCAAGCCTGTGGTGGAATAAAGCAGCTCTATGGAGGCATTGGCGGTGTTACAGCCCTGCGTCCACTCCTGCAGGGCAGGGAGCCCTCTGTGGGTTGTGCTCCCAGAGTAGCAGCCTAGGGGTGGCTTGTAGTCATTTTTATAATTCACTTTTAATGACATGCTAATTAAGGGGCGGGTTACTCAGAAATAGCTAGAAATGGGCAGTAACTTCCAGCTGTTTCCATGGCAAGGGGTGGGGACTTCCTGTGTTGCCATGGCACTGGCAAACTGTCATGGCGCTGGTGGGAGCATCTTCTGGTTATCTGAGGTATGAAGTGCTTTCGCTGCCTCTCCCAGTTTCCTCTGTGCCTCTTACCTGAAAGCCCTTCACACCCCCATCTACCCACCTACAAATTTCACTGTCCTTTCACCCCACACCCGTTTCACACGCACTCCCACATCAACCCCAAGCATTCAAGCTGGGAATTTCCCTGTTAGGAACCTCGGTGGTAACCGAAGCTCTGAAAAACCCCTAGGCAGAACTCCTTGCCTAGTTTGTGGCAGAAATCAGGGAAGGAAAGGCAAAGTTCAGGTATTTCGCACAATAAATAAATAAAGATAGGTAGATTTGATTGATGGATGGATGGATGAAACGTGGGAGTTTATGGGCAAATGTTCATCAGACACTGGAAGTGTAAGTTGTCACAAAGATTATGGAGTGCACTTGTCTTATGACCCTGATATTTTATCCTAGTATATACACTAGAGCATTTTTTTCTAACTGTGTAAATTGAAAGCTCACAAATTAGTTTCGTGAGAGAAAAGATAACAGATTGGAAGAGAATTACCATATTCATTAGTTGTGTTTTTAAAAATTTAAAGTAAAATAGAGACATGATTTTTTTCATGCTTTTGAATGCATCTATAAAAAATAGACTTGAGGGCTGGGCGCGGTGGCTCACGCCTGTAATCCCAGCACTTTGGGAGGCCTAGGAGGGCGGATTACGAGGTTAGGAGTTAGAGACCAGCCTGACCAACATGGTGAAACCCCGTTTCTACTAAAAATACAAAAATTAGGCAAGTGTGGTGGCGCCCGCCTGTAATCCCAGATACTCAGGAGGTTGAGGCAGGAGAATCTCTTGAACCTGGGAGGCAGAGTTTGCAGTGAGCCAAGATCGCACCATTGCACTCCAGCCTGGGTGACAGAGCGAGACTCCATCTCAAAAAAAAAAAAAGTTACTCATTAACAGCATAGACCAATTGGTTTCTATTGGAATTTCTCCATTATTTTCACAATGTCCCAGGCTGTGAAACCAGGATTTAATAACGAACCAGAATGCCACATCTGTGTCACGTGGGTAGGGACCAGTCCTGATCCATTAAGTCCGGGTCTCCGGGTAACTGGACTCACTGCTGGGAAAAACAGAATGTCCGGCGTGCGTTCCTAACGGGGGACCGCAGAGCCTCATAGGAAATGTAGTGTCACCTTCCAATGATGTTACCATCAAGGACCTTGGGAACCAGCTTTTCTCTCTGCGCATGCGCCGCCCCGCCCACTTCGCCATTTTCCTCCGGAAGTGCGGATCCCAGCGGCGGTCGTGTAGCTGAGCAGCCCTGGGGCTTGGTTCTATGTCCCTGTGGGTAGGTGCGAGGGCGAAGAGGAACCTGTGGGCCTCGGGGGATCCCGGGGGGCCAGACCAGTGTTCCCCATTTGTGGGGGCAGACGCGTGGGCACATCGCGGGCAGGAGGGGCCTGACGTGCATTTGCGGGCCGTGGACCCTGGCGGGGGCTGGGAGGACAGACGTGGGGTCCCAGCAGTGAAGCGGGTTCCAGAGGCGCAGGAGTGGGTAGGCGAGGCTGGTGGCCCTGGGCCCGGAGTCTGCAGGCCGCGCTCCTGTCCTGCCGCTGAGGGACCCGGTTACCAACCCTCATGTAGCTCAGTTTGCCCATCTGTCCCCGTGCTAACACACAGTTCTGGGGAGACGTTCCCCATTCCCAGAGGAGTAGTGCGAAATGCGTGTGCCTCTAGTCTTAAGCTGGGCGTTTGTATTAGTTGGGTTTCCTGGTGTCTATTTAGCAAGTGAAGTTTCTGGTTCCCTCCTTCACTGTGTGACCTGCCTAGTCCTCCTGGATTGCATTTATGGAAGTTTATACGAGACCTAGTTTCCATGGAGGAACTCACTGATTCCGCCAGGGAGATAGGGTACTGGATAATGGTCTTCAGCCTTAAGGGTACTTCAGTCTTCACTGTGTGTTATAAAGTTTGAAAGGGAGGGTTCCCTATGAATAAGAAGCGCACTTGAAAGAACAGCCCTCTGGTCTAACCTCTCACTGGTGCTTCAGAGGAGGATAAAAGGTCGCAGGTGAAGATCCCAGTTTTCCTCGCTCAGGAAATATTAATTCTACTCCCTAGAATGCACAAGATTTGCAAAGACTAGGTGATAGTGAAAGGTTTGGAAGAACTTTCAGAAGGTTGAGGTGAATTCAGCTGAGAAGAACAGGCAAGGACCTAGGAAATATTCCTTATTTGAAGGGGCCTGAAAGTGTGGTCTGGGGTGCAGGAGTGACCTGTCATACTTGAAAAGATGGAAATACTCTCCAAATACAGTCCCATTCCTTCAAACTTAGCTTGTTGTTTCCAGTGTCTGAGATATATTAAACCTAGTCCATCACCAAATTTAGCATAGATTGTGAAGTTCTATTGATTGCATTTGATTTGTAATTTAAGACTTTCTCCCCCTACATAATTTCGTTAAAAACATATTGAATTCTATTCACTTAGGTGTAACAGTTAATATTTGCTGTTTAAGGAACTAATTAAACCTTACTAGCTTATAAAAAACAACCACCATTTTATTTGTTTGAAGTTCTGTGGATCTGCATTTTGGTGTGGTGGGTTCAGCTGGGTAGTTGATATATTTGTGTTGCCTGGATCACAAAACAGGCCTTAGTCACCTGGTGCCTTGACTGAGCCTGGTTGGTTTAAGATAGTTTCCTTCACAATCTGGTGGTTTGTGGTGACTCTTGGCTAGGCCCTGTGTCTCCAACAGGGTAGCTCCAGACCTCTTCACAATATGACTGTGTCCAAAAAGGCAAGAACCAATGGATATTTGCATCACATTTTCCATTGTCCATTCACTGGACAAGTCAGATGGAAAAGCCCAATTTATTGTCAGAGCATAATATGAGGGCTTGGATACAGGGAAAGGTGTTATTGGGAAACATGAGTAGAATGGTGTACTGCAGGAAATACATATTATGTACATTTTAAAAAACGTAGGCCAAAATTGTTGGGTTGCAAGATGCACTTTCCATGATGTTCAGGTATAGAAAAGCAAGATGTACTGTCATGGGAATACTCATATGAAGTTATTTGTGGAATCCACATATTAATAGGAAAATAGTTAATACAGCCCAGTATATTTCTATAACATTTATTTTAGTGAACTTATAATGTTTCTTTGTATTAAATTATTAGATTATATCTTTAGGTAATATTGTTACTAAATTAGTAGGTAATACATATTTTTATTCAAAAATAAATTGTGCATCTAATGTCTACCAATTAATGTACTTGTAGATGTATCTTATCTTAACTTGAGTCTTTGCTGCCCCTAATGAGGTGTGAAGGACTCTTCTCCCATGGGGAAGTTTTTCTTTTTCCGGAGGGAGGAGGGCTTTTCCAGGTAATGTGTCTAGAGTGTTGGGCAGAAGAATCTGGGACCACACCTCACCAGTTCTCTCCTTAATCGACGTCATTTGCCTTCTCTTCCAGCTATGTTTCCAGTGTCCTCTGGGTGTTTCCAAGAGCAACAAGAAACGAATAAATCTCTGGTGAGTTGTTTATTTGTTCTTCACTTTGTTTTACACTGTATTTTCTGAGTTTATGGGTGTCTGTGAATTAAAAAGGAAAAGTGGAAATAAGTAAAACTCAGGTTGAAGGAAATATACATAAATAAGATAAAGCTGACCTGTAGATATAGACAGGTTATAAAAGCTTAGAGTTGTCTAAGTTGAGTGCAAAGTTTCCTCTGATCTTTCTGATGCCGAAACAAAAAAGGCAGTCATGTTTGTTACGTGATTGGAATGGAACCCGAAAAGAGAGCATGCTGTGTTCTTGTGGGACAGGAAAGCTTGTGTGCACCAAGTCTTAACCACCACCTTCATTGGTGACATAGATTATGTGCTGGAACATATTTCACACCGGTCTGGCAGTAAGCACTTGTAGTGTTGTGCAGTGGAAACAGTCATCTTCCGCTAAGGCATGGCGTGTTGTGCAGTGGAAATGGTCATCTTCCGCTAAAGCATGGCGTGTTGTGCAGTGGAAATGGTCATCTGAAGCTAAAGCACAGCATGTTGTACAGTGGAAATGGTCATCGTCTGCTAAAGCACGGCGTGTTGTGCAGTGGAAATGGTCATCTGCTGCTAAAGCACAGCTTCCATCATAAGGTATGCTCCTTGCTCAAAGAGTGTGGTCCCAAACAGCTTTTGGGAGGTCCTCCTTGACTTATGGATGAAACCCGGAACATCTTGAGGACTGAGTTAACCACAGGTCCTTAAATAACTCTCCACACATTTTTCTTAGTTTATCTCTACATGCAGGGTGTGCAGCAGCCTGTTCAAAGTCATATTTTCTGGGAAATATTTTCAGTGTTTATTTGCAATTTAGCCCACTCTGTGTAGTCTTAACTTATTTCTTCTAAACTCACCATTAACCTAAATAATAGTCAAATTTAGGGGGGCTGTATTTGTCTTACTCGAGTCTTCTACCATAGTTGAAACTGTCGTACCCAAGCAAGTTAGAGAGAAATGCCACACTTTGAGACGAATTCAGGAGTCCTTTATTAGCTGGTGACTGAGAGACGGCTAACACAGGAAATACTCTCGGCCCTAAAGAATGGGCTAGATTTTCTTTTATACATTGGTTTAGAGAGGGGAGGGGGGATTCCAGCTGCAATAAACTTACAGAAGAAAAAACAGACAAAAAACTTAAAAAGACAGATGGTTACAGGAAAACAAATTGTTCCAGGTGCAGAGGCTTTAAATTCACCACAAAGTGATGAGTGAGGGGGCTCTGGGCATTATCTTCCAGACAAATGTGGGGGCTTTATGATATTATCTCTGAGTAATTTGCTGGAAACTGCGGACTTCACTTGCCTCAGCACTTTATCAGTTAATTGCACTCTTTGATATGTTGAAAATCAGCTTGCACAAGTTAAAGTCCTTGAGGAAAGGGGGTGGGTAAGGAGCCCTTGATGTCTTGTAAATGAAGGAGCCAAATGGAGTTTGTCTGGTTTTCTCAGCTAAGGGAGAGTCTATTCATATTAAAAACAAGGTTAGCTATCTAAGGAAGAGTCTATTCATGTTAATACAACGTTGGGTATTACAAAACATCTGTTCATGATCTGGAAATTCTTCCGTGTTAGTTCTGTTAAAAGAAAAACTTTAAAGGAGTTTAATTGAGCAATAAACGATTCATGAATCGGAAAGTCCCCAGAATCACAGCAGATTCACAGAGACTCCAGCACAGTCATGTGGTGGAAGAAGATTTATAGACAAAAGGGAAGTGGCATACCGAAATCGGAAGTGAGGTACAGAAACAACTCAGCGTTTGCCTTGTTTGAGCACAGTTTGAACATTTGGCAGTGCCTGAGTGGTTGAAGTTTGGCCATTGGGATTGGCCAAGATGTAGCTGTTGTTTGAGGTGCATACACTCAAGTTAGGTTTTCATTCTTGTTTACCTATTAAGGTAGGTTGCAGGTCATCCACAAGGACTCATATATATAATTATGGAGTCCTTCTCAGGACATACTTAGTTCACTTTAACAATGCCTTCCCTTTGGTTATTTTCTCAATTTTGAGAGATTGGCCAAAACTTCAGTCACTGGTGTCACTATTACCCTTGCAAATGTATTTATTTGGTTTAGAAACCCACTGGGAAATAGAACAGTGAGATTTGAAAAGGTGGAACAAGGACTTGAGTAGAAGGTGTCTTCTTATGCTGGAACATCCTGTTTACAGGAGAAAAACAAAACCTGGTTTGTTCTAGGATTTATGTGTTTCCTTAAAGTCTTAGTTTGATTATGTTCCATTTAGCATGAGTGACTCCATTTTGGTTTGGTTTGTTCTTTTGGGACCTATTGCATGAGCTTAGTTCAAAACAATGGCCTCCCATAATTTTGCTTAAAAAATTCCTCCTTTTGGCTGGGCACGGTGGCTCATGCCTGTAATCCCAGCACTTTGGGAGGCCGAGGTGGGCAGATCACGAGATCAGGAGATTGAGACCATCCTTGCTAATACGGTGAAACCTCATCTCTACTAAATACACAAAAAAATAGCCAAGCATGCTGGCGGGTGCCTGTAGTCCCAGCTACTCAGGAGGCTGAGGCAGGAGAATGGCCTGAACCCAGGAGGCAGAGCTTGCAGTGAGCCGAGATCATGCCACTGCACTCCACTCTGGGGGACAGAGCAAGACTCTGTCTCAGAAAAAAAAAATCCTCCTTTTCAGTCAAGTTCTCACTTAGTTGAGAGTGTGACCAAAATGTAGGGCCTTAGCCTCACTCTTAGTTACCATTGTTTTGGGTTTCCGGTTTAGCACATCACTCCCATTGTTTTGGGTAATGGTTTTAGCACGTCACTCCCATTGTTTTGGGTTCTGGTTTTAGCATGTTACTCCCATTGTTTTGGGTTTCTGGTTTAGCACGTCACTTCCATTGTTTTGGGTTCTGGTTTTAGTACATCACTCCCATTGTTTTGGGTTCCGGTTTTAGTACATCAGTCCCATTGTTTTGGGTTTCTGGTTTAGCATGTCACTCCCATTGTTTTGGGTTTCTGGTTTAGCATGTCACTCATAGGTTACGGTGTCCTTATGGTTGCACATTTTTTTTAATCTGTTGTCATTCCAGTTGAAGAGATACCATTTGACATTTTACAGATGGCTGTATGCAAACTCTTAAAACATTTGAGTAAGTACAGTGCACCAGGGAGACTCTTATGACTATTGGGATAACACCAAGAATTTGGTATATGCTCCTTACTCAGGGTCCCCATAAATCAAACCACCTAAAATCAAATAGATTAAAGAATGAATTAGATAAAGAGTTTACTTGCTTAACTAAGTGGGTTTTTTTGTTAATTCCCTACAACCAAATCTTTATAATACCCGATGTTTTCTCCATATGCCATGTTAGCAGCTGCACAGATACTTAAGATAAGAGTCTCATGATAGTAGAGAAGTCTTGATCTGTGATCTTAGGAAAAGCTGTTCACATTAAGGATGCCATCTTCTTCTGGGGGGAACTGTCCTTGTTAGCTTTACCTTAAGGGTTCCAAGGGGTGTATGGTTCCGAGTGTGGAGGGACCCTTCTGAGTTGTAAGACTATGAACCCAAAGTTTAAGGTTTTAAAGTTTTGCTGTCATGTGAATGGCAAGGGCAGTCCTCTGATGTTCTCAGAAGATCCAGTCATCAGATTCTAGATTGTGAAGGGGTTGGCTGTCCTCTGTGAACCATAAAAGGCTTTCTTTAGCTGGTGAAAATACACTTCAGCATAATAATCTACTGTTTTAACATCAACCCTCTTGCATGGAAGAGCTTTTTTACAATCAGAAAACATGCACTGAAAATGACAACTGAATGAAATCCCTTTATAAAATGTTTAAATGGCCCATCAGGTAACCAAATGTACCTGAAGTTTTGATTGTTTTCCTAGGAATATAGGTTCAACAAACCAAACATTGATTATAAACTATTTTAGCAATTTAGAGATCACCACAGCAATATATTTAATTTGGATCATTTTCTCTTTCCATGATGAGTTATGGAATGCAGAACTTTTAATAACAAAAGTTTTAAGGACTTAAGACGGAAAGGTGGCCATCCTGGTTCTTCATAAGTCCGTGCTTAATTAACGTTAGACTTACATCCTCTTGAATACCAGCTGTTTCTTCAAATTAGGTGCATGGCACTGGTAACTGATGAGTTATAGGTAATTTGGCTTAGACCATGGAGTTTATTTAAATTATATATCTAAACAATTTCAATATTGGTGATTTAGCATGCGAATCTGGCAAAATATTTCCTTGATATTCAATTTTTGTTTTACTTGGGTTAGCAGTTTTATAAACCAGTTGGTCTTCTTATTAAACTTTAGGATTTTTTTTTTTTTTTGAGACAGAGTCTCACTCTGTTACCTAGGTTGGAGTGCAGTGGCACAATCTTGGCTCACTGCAACCCCCGCCTCCTGGGTTCAAGTGATTCTCCTGCCTCAGCCTCCCGAGTAGCTGGGATTACAGATGCATACCACCACACCCGGCTAATTTTTGTAGTTTTAGTAGAGGCGGGGTTTCACCATTGGCCAGGCTGGTCTCAAACTCCTGACCTCAAGTGATCCACCGGCCTCAGCCTCCCAAAGTGCTGGGATTGCCAACATGAGCCACTGCACCCAGCCTAACTTTTGAGAATTCTTAACCAGTCCAATTATTGGGGGATCGGGGAACTTATGGGGAATTTTTACCCATGATATTAAAGTTATTAGAAACCTGTGTTCCCGAGTGTTTTTCATGGTCCTTTTCATTCTTTCATGAATCTTCTATTCTAGAATTTTGCATGCTTGTGAAGTTTTTAGAAACTGCATCACCATTAAGCAATTAACTGTGGAAATGACTTTAAATAGTTATAGTTAAAGACAATTGATAAGGAAATTTGGTTATTTCTGTGGTCTACAATAACTTAATAACCATAATTAGGGTGGATGTGGTGGCTCATTCCTGTAATCCCAGCTCTTTGAGAGGCCAAGTTAGGTGGATCACCTGAGGTCAGGAGTTTGAGACCAGCCTGGCCAACATGGTAAAACCCTGTCTCTACTAAAAATAAAAAAAAATTAGCCGGATGTGGTGGCAGTTGTCTGTAATCCCAGCTACTTGGGAGGCTGAGGCAGGATAAATGCTTGAACCCAGGAGGTGGAGGCTTCAGTGAGCCTAGATCACACCATTGCACTCCAGCCTAGGTGACAAGAGCGAAACTCTGTCTCAAAACAAACAAAACAGGTAATTATGATAGATAGCATATAGGCATATTAGAATTTTAGAATCCTGGCCAGTTGCAGTGGCTCACGCCTGTAATCCCAGCACTTTGGGAGGCCGAGGTGGAAGGATCACGAGGTCAAGAGATGAGAACATCCTGGCTAACACGGTGAAACCCCGTCTCTACTAAAAATACAAAAATTAGCTTGGCATGGTGGTGGATGCCTGTAGTCCCAGCTACTCGGGAGGCTGAAGCAGGAGAATGACATGAACCCAGGAGGCGGAGGTTGCAGTGAGCCGAGATTGTGCCACTGTACTCCAGCCTTGGTGACAGAGCAAGACTCCGTTTCGGGGGAAAAAAAAAAAAGAATTTTAGAAATCCTATACAATTTTAGAACGGGTTGATGAAATAAACTAAATATAACCTGAAGAAGGTTCAACATTATGTTTTATTTTGACAGTGCTACCCATGTGACTTAACATGTTAAATAGTCCTGTTTACCTCTCTTTTGGGTGCTTCAAGGGCCTCTGTAGTATCCCAAAGTTAGAGGTCAGAAAAGACAATTTTGAAGTTGAAATTTGATTTTGGGAAGCCTATTAAATATATTAAAAGTTTAAACACTTGATGTTATGAAATAGAATTCCAGGTCACCGTAAGTCATTCATTTACTTAAAATCATGACTTAAAAAAGTTTTAAAGGGCAAAAATCTTTACTGATTGATAGAGGGAAGACTTATCTTCACAAACGATCTGCCTCTTGTTTTTCCTTTTTTTTTTTTTTTGGTAGTTTATTTAAAAGGCAAACAAATTTTTCATTATTTTTTAATATTACCTGAACATCTTCTTTAAAGAGAGAAAGCCAAATGTCACCTACTTTTTCATAAAACCTTATAGACAAACCTATTATTCTTTCTTTTTTTTTTTTTTTTGAGATGGATTTTCCCTCTTGTTGCCCAGGCTGGAGTGCAATGGTGTGATTTCGGTTCACTGCAACCCTCTGCCTCCCGGGTTCAAGCGATTCTCCTGCCCCAGCCTCCTGAGTAGCTGGGATTAGAGGCATGTGCCACCATGCCCAGCTAATTTTGTGTTTTTAGTAGAGACGGGGTTTTTCCTTGTTGGTCAGGCTGGCCCTGAACTCCTGACCTCAGGTGATCCACCTGCCTCAGCCTCCCCAAGTGTTGGGATTACAGGCACGAGCCACTGCACCTGGCCATTTTTTTTTTTTAAAGATTGCATCTTGCTCTGTCACCCTCCTCACCACATTATAGCTCTGGGGGCCAAGCTGCATCACAATGGAAAATCATGGAATCACAGGAATAATCCACTCAGCTTTGCAAGATGCTGCCCAAGGGGTTGCTTGGAGTAACCAAATTAACATTTTTCATTCTGCCCAGAGCAAAATACATGTGACAAAACATAGACACGTGCCACTTTGCTCAGCACCGAGTATCAAACTGGTAAGACTCAAACTTGCTCCCAGATGGGTCGTGCCATCTCTAAATCTTTTTAGAAGCTTCTGCATATTAATAGGCATCCCTAGATGAGACTAATTTGGGAGCCCTCATTTTTAAATGCACTTCAGGGCATTATTCATTTGGAATGTTCCACTGTAAGTTATCTTAATAAGATTTTGCCATTTCTGTAAGACTTTGCTGCTTCCCAGGCCTAATGTATTAGCCAGAAGGAGCTTAGTTTTCCAGAAATTAAGGATCCTATTTTTACCTAAAATATTGGCTTTACTCCCAGGTTCCCTTCATTAACTTAGCCAATGATTTTTTTTCCTGCCTAAGCATGCGAGAAAAATGAAACAAAGGGGTAGAACACAAAAATCCCTGTGAATTTTCAAAAGCCAAATGTTACAACCTTCCAATATTATCATTTACTACCACTTTCCTTCTGACCCAGTCAGATGTAGGAGGCCTCTAACTGGAACTGGATTCAAGCCAGTTAACTACTGGATCAAATCTGATCCTGGACCCAGTCCCTTTTCTGTCATAACTTCTAAAACATCCAGCCAGTCATGGCTGGATAGCAGTTTGGAACAGAAATTTGCTCAAAGAAACTCAGAGCTCAAAACACAAATCCATGGAGCTCTGAAATCCGAGAGAAAATTTACCATGATCCCCAGCTGCTCCAAGAGATCAAAGGACACAAGTGTTACAGAATCCTGAGGTGTCACTTTTCTGACTGAAACCTCTGGCTGGTGGAGCCTTTACCTGTGTTTTGCTTGGGCCCACTGGGTTAGTTCTGTCCACTCAGCTCATGCTAGTGGTCTGGATCCCACACCTGCCAAGGGCGAGCTGGGTACAGAGCAGTGAGGGGTGTGTGAGCAAGCGAGCATGGGATCTGGCCACTGCACACAGCCAAGCATGCCAGCTGCAGTGGGGTGGGCAGCTCCAGGCACAGATGCCAGCTCCCTGTGAGGCTGCAGCTGGACCAGGCCGACTGCAAACAGCTTCCACTGTGGGTATCAGGGAATGCAGTGGCACCCAGAAGCTTGGAGATGCAGGACCTGCAGAGCCCCAAAGAAGGTGTCACAGCCCTGGCTGGGGGAGCTCCTAGGTCTGTGTTCCCTGAAGGGACACAGCTCTTCTCTCCTTCTCTCTTCTCTTCTTCTTGCCTGCAATTTGGCAAGCAAGGAGCACGTTTCAGCCCTGTTTATGTTACACCTCTTTCAGCCCTGCTAGTTGGCAGGTCCCGAGTTCTTGTCCTGAGTCCAGGAAAAATGAGGTATGTGGACAAGTAGAAGGTGAACAAGGTGAAGAGGTGCTTTATTGAGCCCCAGTACAGCTCAGAGGAGACCTGCAGTGGGTAGCTCCTTTCTTCAGGCAGGTCATCCCAACGTCTGTTCAGCTCTCAGCAGCTGAGAGGAGACGCATGGTGGGTAGCTGTGCCCATAGTGCCCAGGCGTTTGAGATGAGGAGGGCCTTCCGGCCACTGCTGAGCCACTCTTAGCCCCACCTCAGCCTCCCTCCTGTGCTTGCCAGTGCCCAAAGTCTGGAGGGGGCCGAGGTGGCAGTGGGCTGGCATGTCAGCACTGCCCTGAGCTTGCACAAACTGGGCCGGGTTGTGACTGTGCCCGGGTTTGGCCTCAACTTGGATCCGAATTTGGAGTGGGCTCTGGAAGCAGAGAGACGCCAGGTGGCAGGACCAGGTACAACTGAGCCTGCGGGGCAGGGGGGCTTGCTGGGCCTCTGAGAGTGCAGAGATGCCCGGGTTTGCAGTCATGGCTGGATGGCTGCAGCTGTGCCTGGGAGGGCGGGGCTCCTGCCTGATAATTTAGAAGGGGCAGGTCTCCCACCCATTCCTGGCTCCCACCAGCTTTGAGGAGTGCACAGCCCCAGCCACTCCTCCCCACTGCAGCCAGTGTCTCCATAGCAACTGCTCCACGTGGGCCACTGCTGCCATCACAAACGGGTCCTTTCAGGTTCCTTCCTTGTACCTCAGCACTCTGGGGGTCATTAGAAGCCTTAGCAACACTGCTCACCACAGTATAGCTCCAGAGGCCCTAGCAGTCCTGCTCCCACAGATCCCACTTCTGACACCATCTATTAAAAGAAAATCTTCAGCTGAATTAAATTTAAAGGAACTTAATTGAGCAATGAATGATTCACGAATCAGGCAGCCCCCAGAATCACAGCAGATTCAGTGAGACTCCAGCACAGACACATGGTGGAAGATTTATAGACAATAAAGGGAACATGTTGTACAAAAATCTGAAGTGAGGAGTGAGGTCTAGAAGCAACTGGGTCCATTACAGTTCTCAGCAGTGAGGTCCAGAAACAACTGGACTGGTTACAGTGCTCAGCATTTGCCTTATTTGAACACAACTGAACACTCAGCAGTGTGTGAGTGGCAGAAGTTTGGCTGTTGGGATTGGCCAGGACTCAGCTACTGTTTTAGGCACATACTCCTAAGTTAGGTTTTCAGTCTTTCTACCTATTAAGTTAGGTTGCACTTTGTCCACAGGGACTCAAATCTAGAAGTACAGAGTCCTTCCCAGGCCATATTTAGTTCACTGTAACAGTTCCTATTATGACCTCACTGACAGTTCTTTGTCTCTGAATTCTCCTTTCTTCTCAACAGCTTATCCAAATGTTCCACTGGTCCCTGTTCATCTTGCCCTGCAGTTCTCCTTGACTGATTCAGCCCTTTGTGGTTTGCAGTCCTGTTTCTCTACAGCTTGGACCTCTTCAGTCTTTCCATCATAGGTTTAACTCTCTGTTGAATGCTTCTTTGTAGCTATCCAAATTTACCTTAAGCTCAAAAAATTTGAAGTGAAAGCCACATCCTCTTCTCTTCCCTTATGTGTATGGCATTACTACCATGCAGCCAGTGACCCAAAATGGGATTTCTTCTGGGCTTTTCTTGCTTACATTCAGGCTCATGTGGTGTCAAGCCTTGTTACTTTTGTTTCCTTGTTCTTTTATTTTTATTTTTTTTCTTTTGAGACAGAGTTTCGCTCTTGTTGCCCAGGCTAGAGCGCAGTGGTGTGATCTCAGCTCACTGCAGCCTCCACCTCCTGGGTTCAAGCAATTCTCCTGCCTCAGCTCCTGAGTAGCTGGTATTACAGGCATGTGCCACCACGCCCGGCTAATTTTGTATTTTTAGTAGAGATGGGGTTTCTCTGTTTTGATCAGGGTGGTCTCGAACTCCCGACCTCAGGTGATCCGCCCGCCTCGGCCTCCCAAAGTGCTGGGATTACAGACGTGAGCCACCGTGCCTGGCCTGCTTGTTGTTTTCATCTCATCCTGATTTCCGAATACAGGAGAGAAGCTGAGTTGGTGTTCACTAACAAGCACAGAAGCTTTGTTATATTTACAGTGTCATTCTTGGCAAAACCTGAAGGGTGTGTTTGTGGGGTGATGAGGTTCAGTCACCTGTGATCTCTGCATCTGGCCAGCACAGTGGTGACATCCTTAGGAATCCATGGGGAGAGAGAAAGCATTCAGGAGTTAGTGGGTCACATTTGACAAGGGCCAATAAAGAAATATGCAAAGACAAAAAACAAGAAGAACATTGTCATATTTTCTACCTTTTTTTATATAAATTTATGTCAATGATTTTAGCTTATGTTAATATGCAATGTATATAATATGCTAACATTTACAATATATGTTTATAGTTTAAACATTTCTGTCATATTTTCAGATTCTTTAAAGATTATATTATGCTTCCTATTTCAGATAGCTGCTTAAAATGAGTAAGGAAAAACGGATGTGTGCATCAGTTCCAACTGTTTATGGACTAAAACTAGTTGATTTCTTGGCTAAGAACAAAAAGTGACAACCTAATAAACTGAAAATTTTAAGTGGGCAATTATAGTTTTAGCTTTAACGTAAAATATTAACTATGCTCCATTCTTGCATTTTTAACCTAATACTCAATATAAATCGCCACATGCCATGTTTCAGATCAAGGTTTTACTTGGGATCTCTCATGAGTTTTTCAAGGTTTTAATTATCTGCAATGTAACAATGTACCAGTAACCTTACTGGCTTAAACCAGGAATTTATTCTTTTTACATGTCACAATTTTCTGGGTCAAGACACTGGACAGGGCAATGTGGGTTGGCTGCTTCATGATGTCCCTGGTCTCATCTGGGAGGACTCTAGTGGCTGGGGACGTGAAGCAGGCACCCAGAAGGACTCTAGTGGCTGGGGACATGGAGCAGGCACCGAGCCCTCTCTTTGTGGCCAGCACGGACTTCCTCCCAGTCTGGCAGTGTCAGGTAGTCAGGTTTGTCTGGCTTCTCCCAGGGTGTGTGTCCAAGAGGCCCAGGCAGAAGCTGTAAGGTCTCTCATGATCATCCCTCAGAAGTCCCAGAGCATCTCTCCTGCCACACTGTCCAGTCATACTCATCACTGAGACCAGACATGATTCAAGGGGGGAAGGTGATTAGATTCCACCTCTTGATGAGAAGCATAGTAGGAACCTGCAGCAGTCTTTAATAAACCACAGTTTGTCCTCTGGCCACAAACTATTAACGTTTCTCTCACATGCAAATTATTCTTTGCCCCTCTCAAGAGTCCCAGAATGGTTTTCCTTATGGCACTGGCTGGTAGCCCAACTGAATCCTGATTCAGGTTGTGGTGGCCTGTCACCTGCGCCCACACACACTCAGCCGCAGTGAGGACTGAATCAAATTGTGGTGGCATGTCATCTGCCCCCCCACACACAGCCACAGTGAGGACTGAATCAGGTTGTGGTGGCCTGTCATCTGCCCCTGACGCACTCAGCCACAGTAAGGACTGAATCAGGTTGCTGTGACCTATCATCTGTGCCCACACACTCAGCCGCAGTGAGGGGACTGGTGTGAAAACAGTCGGCATTTCCCTTTAGAAGCTGTTGGTGGGAGGCAGGAGGGAGGTGCTGCCCTGCAGGCCCCGTCTAACAGTTGGTCATTCCCATGGGGCGCCTGTTACAGTTCTGTGATTAGTGCCCAGTCCGGGTCCCTGAGAACGGCGCCCAGTCCTTGTCCCTGAGAACGGCGTTTGTGTCCTTTTACTCCTCCCTCTGGGCTTTTGTCATTCTCCATTTTCTTTTTCCTTCAGTGCCTGGGTTGCCGTTGACCAACTTTCTCTGCCTTTTTCTTATGGTCAATAGGGTATTCAATGGCTTCTTTTTAATTTTTTTTCCTTTTCTTTTTTTTTTCTTTGGCCTTTTGAGACAAGAAATTATTTCTTTATATTTTCTCTAAATTTTGTTTGAAAACTGAACTTCCTTCTTTAGATCATGTCCCTCTCCTGTCATATTTATTCAATGACAGTTAGGGTAGGCTGGTAGCACTTTCCATGTTCTTCCCAGATGTCTCCTTAGGCAGATCCCTGAGATGGTGCAGTGCCCTTTCAGTTTCCATGTTGTGGCCATAGTTTTCTCACAGTCCCTCAGCACATAACTCTCAGGCCTTTTCCCCAGTTTCCAATGACATTTTCTCACCGTCCTTCAGGCCCTGACCAAGAGTCTTGATGCCCTTCCAGGTTGAATGAATGGTCTCCTTGAGGCCCAGTTACAGGTCAGCCTCACAGTCGTGGCACATATTGTAGCTTCTGATTACCACAGCGGCTCATTTCCAGCTACCATATTCTGTTCCAGTTATCTATTCTGAAGAAACCATCCCCAAAACTTGGCAGCTTAAAACAACTCATTATTACTTGTTTTTTGGCTTAGAGAGTCTTGGTGGCCAGCTCATCTCACACACAGTTGCAGCCAAGCTGGGTTGTGTGAAAGCACAGTGGGGTGGTGTGCAGGGTGGCTCACTAGTGGTTGGGAGTGGATGTTGCTGAAGGCTCACTAGTGGTTGGGAGTCGGTGTTGCTGGAGGGTCAGTGGGGGATGTCAATGCATGTAGCTAGTCATGGACTGGCCATGTGGTTTCCATCATGGGGTCTCAGGGGAGTGGGATTTCCTGCCTGGTGACTGGCTTTCTCCTGGATAAGTGTTCTGTTTTCTCAGCCTGGCTTCTGAAGTCCCCAAATACCACCTTTGTCACCTTCTGTTGGCCAAGCAAGTTAGTAGTCTGGGCAAGGTTTAAGGGGAATTGGTTCTCACAGAGAGAGGAGCAGGAAAGAAGTTGTCACCTTTAGTCTACCAGAAATATGATTTTTATAACAAGTTTGTTCCAAATACATTCCAGTTCCCCTTGTGAATACTTTTTTGACTCCCAGGGTATTTCAAAGTTTATTACTTGGTTTTCAGACATTTGAGGCTTTTCTGGATATCAATTTGTTGTTGGTTTCTAATTTAATTTCAGGTGTTCAGACAACATACTTTGTATACTATGTCATGCTTGAACATTTTCTCAATTGATCGACATACAGTCTATCTTGGTACTGCCAAGTACCATTTGGGTCAGGATTTTGTCATTTAGATCCGTATTTTTCCTATATTTTTATCTGGTTGTTCCATCAGTTACTGAGAGAGCAGTATTAATTCACCAGCTATAATTTTGGATTGTCAATTTCCTGCTTTTGTTCTGTTGTTTTTGATTCACATAATTTGAGGCTCTGTGTGTGTGAGTACTTTGTGTGCACTTTGAGGCACAATTTATAATTGTAACATCATCCTCTCTGATTCTTTTATTTTTATGAAATTACCTTGTTTATTTCTGGTGATATATTTTGTTCTGGAGCCTCTTTCATCTAGTGTTAACATCTCCGTTGAAGCTTTTTATGATTAGTGTCTGGATAGCATATTTTTATGATTAGTGTCTGCAAAGCATATTTTTTCTCATATTTTGTGTCTCTGTATTTAAATTGTGTCTCTGTGGATGCCATATTGTTGGGTCTTGCTTTCCTCTCAGGTCTGGCAGTCTCTGTCTTAAGTAGAGTATTTGTCCAGTTACATTGTAACTAATCATTGCTAAGGTTGGATTTAGGTCTGCCATTTTTCTACTTATTTTCTATTTTTTTTTTTTTTTTTTAAGACAGGGTCTTGCTCTGTCACCGAGACTGTAGTGCAATGGTGCAATGTTGGCTCACTGCAACCTCTGCCTCCCAGGCCCAACCAATCCTCACTGAGTAGCTGGGACTACAGGCGCATGGAAACACACCTGGCTAATTTTTATATTTTTTGTAGAGATAGGGTTTTGCCATGTTGCACAGGCTGGTCTTGAACTCCTGAGCTCAAGCAATCTACCCACCTTGGCCTCCCAAAGTGTTTGGATTACAGGCATGAGCCACCATGTCTGGCCTTCATCTGTGTTTTGATCTTCTATATATTCTTTCCTAACTTCTTTTGGGTTAAATATTTCTAAATATTCCAGTTTGATTAATATTTTGGCTTTTTGAAATAATTTTTTATAGGCTGGGCATGGTGGCTTATGCTCGTAATCTCAGCTCTGTGGGAGTCCAAGGGAGGTGGATTGCTTGAGCCCAGGAGATTGAGACCAGCCTGGGCATCATGGCAAAACCCTCTCTACAAAAAAACTAAACCAAAATTTAGCCTGACATCTTGGTGTGCACCTGTAGTCCCAACTATTCGGGAGGCTGAGGTGGGAGGGTTGCTTGAGCCTGGGAGGTTGAGGCTGCAATGAGCTGTGATCATGCCATTGCACTCCTGCCAGGGCAACAGAGTAAGACCCTGTGTCAAAAAAGATCATTTTTTATAAATAATTTATTATTTAGAATTTTGGTAACAAACACATACCTTAAAATTTACCATCGTAACCAGTTGTAAGTATACAGTTTTGTAGAGTTAAGAATATTTACAGTGTTGTGTAGCAGATTTCTAGATTTTTTTTTATCTTGGAAAACTCTATACCCATTCAACAACTATTAATTTCCCCCTCCTTCCACCTCCTGGCAAGTACTATTCTACTTTGTGTTTCTAAAAATTTGGCTTATATCCCTAGGGTTATATAATATTTGTTGTTTTGTAAGTAGGTTCCATGTTATGTGTCAGATGTGTCACAATTTTCTTCCTTTCTATGGCTGAATAATATTTCTTCATATATATATTATATATATATTACATATATAATATATATATAATATATATCATGTATATATATGCTTTTGTTTATCCACCTATTTCTGGATGGACGTTTTGGTTTCTTCCACCTTGTGGCTGTGTAATGCTGCTGTGAACTTAGGTGTGCACATATCTGTTTGAGGTCCTGCTACTAGTTATTCTGTCTCTGTAGTAGTTGGATGGCTGGATCATATGGTCATTTTATTTTATTTTTTTTTTGAGGAGCCAGTTCATATTTCCACCAACAGTGTTCAAGGGTTTCAGTTTCACCTGCGCTTGTTACTTTCTGTTGGGTTTGAAGTGATGTCCCATTGTGGTTTCTTTTTGCATTTCTCTAATGACTAGTGATGTTACACATCTTCTCATATATCTCATGTATCTCTTGGCTATTTGTATATCATCTTTGCATCTTTGGATAAATGTTGTTTGTCCATTTTTTAATCACTTTATTTTGTTGTTGGGTTGTAGTGGGGTTTTTGTCATGATCATTCATTTATCTCACAGTTCATTCTCATTACTTGGGCCAGGGTCATGATGATTCATTATCTCTCAGTTCATCCTCATTACGTTGGGCAAACAGTCATGCTGCAGGGTATAGATTATGTTATTCTGTTACTTTCAGGTAGAATTGGGGTCTAGGTTATAATTGTTTCTAAGTTTAGATTCTGAATGAGAATCAGCAGAGGTAGACCACCACTGCTGGGGCCTGGGGATTGCTGGGAAAAAGGCAGGAAACAAATACAGACCTGACCATGGAGGGTTTGTGTTTCATGGCTCCCATCTGGGTACCCAAGGAACCTACATGTAGCTCGTGTGTGGAGAGCCTACATTGCCCACTCAAAGCAATTGAGGATGGAACAGTCTTGGTGCTGGAGCTCATTATTTGGAATGATAACCACATCTGCACAGAGAAGACCTGATAAGATGTTGTCCTTCCATGTATATCTGGGAATCCTGTGTAGGGTCTCTCTGTAAGGACAGGAGCAGTGTTGGCTCCTTGGCCTCTAGTTAGCCTCACGAGTAGTCTAGTAAAGGCTTTGCCAACTTGTCACCATCTGTGGATATTCTGGCCAGCTCTTGTTTTCACCCTACTGACTTCTTCAGACACTAGGCTTTTGCTTCAGACCATTCATGGTTTTTCTTCCTCTTCAAATCAGTAATCAATAAATCCTCTTCAAATCAATGAATTTCCACTCCTTTAGGAAACTCTGATCTTCTGGTCATGCCAAGGTTTAATTAACTGGTTTAATTGTTTTTCTGTTTTCTTGGTTTCTTTTTCCTTCTTCCTGGGGGTTTCTAGTAATTTTAGTTTGATGTCTCACTTTCTCCATTTTTTAGTTCTTAGTTTTCTTCTGTGATTATTTTCACTGCAGCTGCAGGGCCTAATCCTGGGTTGGCAGATAACTAGCACTTACTCTGCCCTAATTGGAATCCGGGAGAGATAGGAGGTGCCCTAGTTTGAAAATGTGTTTGCTCCTCTCTGCTTCTGGTAGTCTCTCTGTAGGAGTACTTTACGTATTCTGAATGTTCACTTCTTATGAGATACATGATGTGCAACTATAGGTTGAATGTCTGTGATCCAAAAATCTGAAATCCCAAATGCTCCAAAGTCTGAAACTTTTTGAGTGCCAACATGACACTCAAAGGAAATGCTTATTGGAGCATCGCAGACTCAGGTGTTTGAATTCGAGATGCTCAACCAGTAAGAATAGTGCAAATATTACAAAATCTGAAACACATCCCAAGCATTTCAAATAAGGGACACTCAACTGGTATTTTCTTTTATTCTACAGTTTGCCTTTTACCCTGTTGGTTGTGACCTTTGTGGTACAGAAGTTTTTAGGTTTGATATATTTTTGCTTTTACTGCCTGAGCTTTTAATGTCATATCTTAAAAATTGTTGACAAATTCATCATCATAAAGCATTTTCCAAATTTGTTTTCCCTAGGAGTTTGATAGTTCTAGTTTTACAATTAGGTTTATAATTCACTTTGAATTAATTTTAACGTGGTGTAAGGTAAGAGTCCAACTTCATTATTTTGCATGTAGATATACAATTTTCCCAACACCATTTGTTGAAGAAACTGTCCTTCGCCATTGAGTGGTCTTGGCATCCTTGTGGAAGATCATCAGACCATATATGCCAGGGTTGGTTTCTGAGGTCTCTGTTGTGTTGGTCCATAAGTGTGTCAAGTATGTCTTTACGCCATGACCACTTTTTTTTTGGCTTATTGCAGTTTTGTAATTGTTTTGAGACCTTTAATTTTGTTCTGCTTCAAGATTGATTTGCCTATTCATGGGCCCTGGAGATTCCATATGAATTTTAGGATAGGTTTTTCTGTTTATCAAAAATGTCATTGGAATCTTTATAAGGATTGTATTGAATCTAGGTCACCTCAAGTAGTGTTGACATCATTCCAAGATGAAATCATCTAATCTGCAAACACAGCTTTTCTTTTCATTTATTTGTGTTTAATTTCTTTCAACAGTGTTTTGTAGTTTTCTGTGTTCAAATCTTTTTTGCCCTTTTGGTTAAGCTTATTTTTAATTTTTATAATGCTGTTGTAAATGTAATACTTTTTTTTTTTTGAGATGGAGTCTTGCTCTGTCTCCCAGGCTGGAGTGCAGTGGCACTATCTCAGCTTACTGCAACCTGCACCTTCTTTATTCAAGCGATTCTCCAACCTCAGCCTCTCAAGTACCTGGGATCACAGGTGCGCGCCAACACGTCCAGCTAATTTTTTGGTATTTTTAGTTGAGACAGGGTTTCTCCATGTTGACCAGGCAAGTCTTGAACTTGTGACCTCAGGTGATCTGCCCGCCTCGGCCTCCCAAGCTGCTGGGATTGCAGGCATGAACCACTGCACCCGGCCAAATGTCATTCTTTTTAAAAATTTATTTTCTTTTGTTTTATCTTTCTTTTCTTTTCTTTCTCTGTCTTTCTTTCCTTTTTTCTTTTCTTTGAGATGGCGTCTCAGTTTCCTAAGCTGGAGCGCAGTGGCACAATCTCAGCTGACTGCAACCTCCACCTTCCAAGTTCAAGCAATTCTCCTGCCTCAGCCTCCCAAGTAGCTGGGACTACAGGTGTCTGCCACTACGCCCAGCTAATTTTTGTATTTTTAATAGAGACAGAGCTTTACTATTTATTTTAGAGATGGGTTTGGCCCAGCTGGTCACGAACTCCTGACCTCAGGTGGTCTACCCGCCTTGGCCTCCCAAAGTGCTGGGATTATAAGTGTGAGCCACTGCACCTGGCCTCTCTTTTTAAAATTTTATTTGCAGATTGTTCATTGTTAGTTTATGGAAATGCAACTGACTTGTGTGTGTTACTGTATCCTGAAACTTTGTTGAATTTCATTATTTTACCAATATTTTGGGAATTTCAGGATTTTTACCCATTACATCCTGTTGTCTGTGAACAAAATTTTGTACTTTTTCCTTTCCAATTTGCATCCTTTTTATTACTTTCTCTTGACTAATTATTCTGAGTAGAAATTCCAGTACTGTGATGAATAGAAGTGGAAGGAAGAGATGTTGCTATCTTATTCCTGATCCTAGAGGAAAAGATTTTAGTCTTTCACCATTGAGTATGATGTTAGCTGTGAGCTTTTCATGTATAATCTTTATTTACTGAGGAGTTTCCATATATTACTAATTCTTTGAGTGTTTTTATTACAAAAGGTGTTCATCTGGCTCTGGAACCAGATAAATGTTGACCTGATAGAATGGATTGGAATGTCCCCTTCTGGTTTTTGAACATTTTTGGAATATTTTGCAGAGGATTGGCATTAATTCTTCTTGAAATGTTCGGTAAAATTTTCCAGTGAAGTTATCTGGACCTGGACTTTTCTTTTTGGTGGGGTTTTTGATTACTGGTTGAATCTTCTTACTAGTTAAAGGTCTCTTTGGATTTTTTATTTCTCCGTGATGCAGTATGGTGGTTTGTGTTTCTAGGAATTTATAAATTTATTCTAGGTTGCCCAGTTTTGTGGCATATGGTTGCTCACATTAGTCTCTTGTAATCTTTTTCATTTCTGTGGCATCTGTTGTACTGTCACCTATTTTATTTATGATTTTAGTATTTGAGATTTCTCTTTTTTTCTTAATATAGCTGTGAGTTTTAAAATTTTTATTGATCTTTAAAAAAAACAAACTCATTGTTTTTTTCCTTTTTTTTCTGGTCTTATTCTGCTTATCTCTGCTCTAATCTGTTATTTTCTTCCTTTTGCTTGGTTTGTCATTAGTTTTTTTTCCCCCCTTCAGGTGTAATGTTAGGTTATTGATTTGAGATCTTTCTTCTTTTTAATTTAAGCACCTGCAGCTATAAGCTTCCCTTTAGCAAGGGTTTGAGATATTTCTTCTTTTTAATTTAAGCATCTGCAGCTGTAAGCTTCCCTTTAGCATGGGTTTGAGATCTTTCTTCTTTTTAATTTAAGGATCTGCAGCTGTAAGCTTCCCTTTAGCATGGGTTTGAGACCTTTCTTCTTTTTAATTTAAGCATCTGCAGCTGTAAGCTTCCCTTTAGCACTGCCTTTGTTGCCTCCTCCTGAGTTTGGGTATGTCATGGTTTCATTTTCATTTGCTTAAACATTTTTTGTCCTATTGTAATATAATTTTGTTGTTTTTAATAAAGGTAATTAATGAAACACATAATGAATTGTGCTTCTATTTTTATAATATTTTAAGCATTCTTAACTCAGAAATGTAAATTTTAGAAAAAAATTCCAGGCCAGGCACAGTGGCTCACACCTGTAATCCCAGCACTTGAGGAGGCCGAGACGGGAGGATCATCTGAGGTCAGGAGTTGGAGACCAGCCTGGCCAACATGGTGAAACCCTGTCTTTACTAAAAATAGAAAAAAAATATATAAGTTAGCTGGGTGTCATGGCGGGTGCCTGTAATCCCAGCTACTCTGGAGGCTGAGGCTGGAGAATCACTTGAATCTGGGAGGCGGAGGTTGCAGTGAGCTGAGATTGCACCACTGCACTCCAGCCTGGGTGACAGAATGAGAGTCCCTCTCAAAAAAAAAGAAAAAAGAAAAAATTTCAGACATATTTATTTGTATTTCAATTTAGAAACTATGATCTCCTAAGTGTATTGACACAGCAACCTGACATAAAGATAAAGAATAATAAGCATATAACAAAATGGAAACTTGCAAATACCTGTTTTTTATTAATTTTTAATTATATATATTTAAAAATTGCCAGGTGCAGTGGCTTACACCTGTAATCCCAGCACTTTGGGAGGCTGAGGTGGGCAGATCACATGAGGTCAGGAGTTTGAGACCAGCCTGGCCAACATGGTGAAACCTCATCTCTATTAAAAATCAAAAAATTAGCCAGGCGTGATAGCATGCATCTGTAGTCCCAGCTACTCGGGAGACTGAGGCAGGAGAATTGCTTGAACATGGGAAGCAGAGGTTGCAGTGAGCCAAGATAGTGCCACTGCACTCCAGCCTGGGTGACAGAGTGAGGCTCTGTCTCAAAAAAATAAAAATTGTCTGGGCGCGGTGTCTCACACCTGTAATCGCAGCACTTTGGGAAGCTGAGGCAGGCAGATCACGTCAGGAGATCGAGACCATCCGGGCTAACACTGTGAAACGCCATCTCTACTAAAAATACAAAAAATTAGCCGGGCGTGGTGGCAGGTGCCTGTAGTTCCAGCTACTCTGGAGGTTGAGGCAGGAGAATGGTGTGAACCTGGGAGGTGGAGCTTGCAGTGAGCCAAGATTGCACCACTGGACTCCAGCCTGGGTGACAGAGTGAGACTCTGTCTCAAAAAAAAAAAATAAAATAAAACTAAGGTGTGGTTGACATACAAAAATTACACATATTTAATATATACCGTGTGTGTGTGTGTGTGTGTGTGTGTGTGTGTGTGTGTGTGTGTGTGTGTGTGTGTTATGGAGGTTTTACTCATGTTGCCCAGGCTGGAGTGCAGTGACACGATCTCAGCTAACTGCCACCTCCGCCTCCCAGGTTCAAGCAATTCTCCTGCCTCAGCCTCCTGAGTAGCTGGGATCACAGGCGTGCACCCCCACGCCCGGCTAATTTTTGTATTTTTTTAGTAGAGACAGGGTTTCACCATGTTGGCCAGGCTGGTCTCGAACGCCTGACCTCAGATGATCCACCTGCCTCGGCCTCCCAAAGTGCTGGGATTACAGGCGTGTGACACCGAATATATACATCTTAATGAGTATAGAGATAAATATTCGCCCCAGGACTCATCACAACAAATAATACCGTAAACTTGACCATCACCCCCCATATATTTCTCATTCTCACCCTTTTTAAAAAATGAGACCAGGAGTGGTGGCTCACGCCTGTAATCCCAGCACTTTGGGAGGCCAAGGCAGGTGGATCACGAGGTCAGGAGATCAAGACCATCCTGGCTAACACAGTGAAACCCCGTTTCTACTAAAAATACAGAAAATTAGCCAGGCGTGATGGCGGGCACCTGTAGTCCCAGCTACTCGGGAGACTGAGGCAGGATAATGGTGTGAACTCAGGAGGCAGAGCTTGCAGTGAGCCGAGATCGTGCCACTGCACTCCAGCCTGGGCAACAGAGTGTGACTCCGTCTCAAAAAAAAAAAATGAGATGACCATTTCACCTAAGATATACCCTCTTAAGTATTTTTTTAAGTGTACAATACAGGACGGCCATGCATCAGAGATATATGGGGGTTTGGTTCCAGACCACTGCAATAAAGTGTGATACAATTTCTTTTGGTTTCCCAGTGCATGTAAAAGTATGTTTATACTGTGCTGTATAAAGTGTGCAATAGCATATGTCTACAAAGTATGCACACTTTAATTTACAAATACTTTATTGTTAACAAGTGCTAACAGTCATCTGAGCCTTCAGAAAGCTGCAATCTTTTTGTGTGTGTGTGACAGGGTTTTACTCTGTGGCTCAGGCTGGAGTAATTGCAGCCTCAACCTCATGCTCAATCAAACCCCCACCTCAGACTCCTGACTAGCTGGGACTACAGGTGCATGCCACCATGTCCAGCTAATTTTTGTATTTTTTTTTTTGTAGAGATGGGGTTTTGCCATGTTGCCTTGACGTCCTGGGCTCAAGCAATCCACCCACCTTGGCCTCCCAAGGTGTTGGGATGACAGGTGTGAGCCACTGAACCTGGCCAAGTTTCAGTCTTCTTTCTGATGGAGGGTCTTACGTTAATGTAAGGTGGTGGTTGCTGAGCGTTGGGGTGGCTGTGACAATTTCTTAAAATAAGACAACGTTGAAGTTTGCTGTGTCAAGTGACTCTCCCTTTCACAAAAGAATTAACTGTAGCATACGATGATAGCTTTTTACCCACAGTAGAACTTTCAAAATTGGATTCAATGCTGTCAAACCTTCATACTGCTGTACCAACTAAGTTTATGTATTATTGTAAATCATTGGGTTCAATCCTGTCAAGCCTTCCTTCTGTTGTACCAAGTTTATTCTAAATCTGTTGTCATCTCAACATTGTTTACACTGTCTTCACCACGAGTAGATTTCATCTCAAGAAACCACTTTCTTTGCTCATCCGTGGAAGCAACTCATCCTCTCACGTTTTCTCCAGAGGCTGCTTCAGTCTCGCCAGATCTTCAGGCTCTGTCTCTGATTCTAGTGCTCTTGTTATTTCCACCATATCTGCAGTTACTTCCTCCACAGAAGTCGTGAACCCCTGTGTCATCTGTGAGGGTTGGAATTATCTTCCCAACTTCTCTCTCTCTCTCTTTTTTTTTTTTTTTTTGAGATGAAGTCTTGCCTGGGCTGGAGTGCAGTGATGCGATCTCAGCTCATGGCAACCTCCACCTCCCATGTTCAAGCAATTCTCCTGCCTCAGCCTCCCAAGTGTTTGGGATTACAGTCACCCCCGACCAGGCCCAGCTAATATTTTTTTGTGTTTTTAGTACAGACAGGATTTCACTATGTTGGCCAGGCTGGTCTCAAATTCCTGACCTCGTGACCCACGTGCCTTGGCCTCCCAAAGTGCTGGGATTACAGGCGTGAACCACCAAGCCCAGCCCCAACTTCTCCTAATGTTGCTATTTTGATCTTTTTTAAATCATGAATGTTCTCAATGGCATCTAGAATGGTGAATCCTTTCCAGTAGGTTTTCAATTATTTTGCCCAGATCCATCAAAGGAATCACTTTCTAGAGAAGCTATAGCTTTATGAAATATATTTTTTAAGTGATAAGACTTGAAAGTTGAAATTATTCTTTGATCCAAGGGCACCAGAATGAATGTTGTGTTAGTAGGCATGAAAACAATATTCAGCTCTTTATACATCTCTGTAAAAGTCCTTGAGTACCAGCGGCATTGTCAGTGAGTGGTAATACTTTGAAAGGAATCTTATTTCTTGAGCAGTAGTTGTCGACAGTGGGCTTAAGATATTCAGTAAACCATATTTGTAAACCGATAGTCTGTCATCCAGGCTTTGTTCCCATTTGTAGAGTACAGGCAGAGCTGTGTTTTATCATAATTCTTCAGGGCCCTTGGATTTTCAGAATAGTAAATCATCATTGGTTTCAAGTTAACATCACCAATTGCATTAGGCGTTAACAAAAGAGTCAGCATGTCCTTTGAAGCCTTAAAGCCAGGCATCAACTCCTCTCTAGCTGGGAACATCCTGGATGGCATCTCCTTCTAGTAGAAGGCTGTTTTGTCTCCATTGCAAATCTGTTTAGTGTAGCCATCTTAATCAATTATCTTCTAGATAGCTTTCTGCAGCTTTTCCATCAGTACTTGCTGCTTTATGTTGTGCTTTTATGTTATGGAGATGACTTTTTTCCTTAAACCTCAAGAAACAAGCTCTTCTAGCTTCAGACTTTTCTTCTGCAGCTGCCTCACCTCTCTAAGTCTTCATAGAATTGAAGGGAGGCCGGGTGCGGTGGCTGTCACACCTGTAATCCTAGCACTTTGGGAGGCCGAGGCGGGCAGATCACCTGAGGTCAGGAGTTCGACACCAGTCTGACCAACGTGGAGAAACCCCGTCTCTACTAAAAATACAAAAAATTAGCCAGGCATGGTGGTGCATGCCTGTAATCCCAGCTACTCGGGATGCTGAGGCAGGAGAATGGCTTGAACTTGGGAGGCAGAGGTTGCGATGAGCCAAGATCACGCCATTGTACTCCAGCTTGGGCAAGAAGAATGAATCTCTGTCTCAAAAACAAAGAAAAAAAGTAAAAAGAGAGTTAGGCTTAGGCTTAATGGAATTTTTTTTTGTTTTTTTTTATCTTCTATCTAGACCAATTAAACTTTCTTCATAACAGCAGCAAGATTGTTTATCTTTTTATCATTCATGTATTCACTGGAGTAGTACTTTAAATTTCTTTCCAGAACACTTCCTTTGCATTCACAACTTGGCTAAGTGTTTGTTGCATGAGGTCTAGCTACTGGCCTGTCTTGCTTACAGCATGCCTTCATCACTAAGCTTAATTATTTCTTCCTTTTGGTTTAAAGTGACAGACATGCAACTCTTCTTTCACTTGAACATACAGAGGCTATTGTAGGGTTATTAATTGGCCACATTTTAATATTAATAAAAAGAAGCCTGAGAAAAAGAGAGAGAAAGAGAAATGGCCCATTGGTGGGGCAGTCAGAACAAACGCATTTGTCAATTGTTTGCTGTCTTATCCTGGTGTGATTTGTGGTTCCCAAAACAATGACAACAGTAGCATTAAAGATCACTGATTACAGATCACTATAACAGATTCAATAATAAAAAGCTTAAAATACTGTGAGAATGACCGAAATGTGACACAGAGACGTGAAGTGAGCACTTGCTGTAGGAACAATGGTGCCAGTGAGACCTGCTTATTGCAGGGTGGCCACAAACCTTCAATATGTAAAACACATGGTCACAAAACACAATAAAGCAAAGTGCAGTGAAACAAGATGTATCTGTCTTTTGATAGACTCTGACAATCTCTATCTTTGAATTGGTACATTCATACCATTAGCATTCAAAGTGATTATTGATATCATTGGATTAATATCTACTATATTTGTTACTATTTTCTATTCATTCTCCTCAGTCTCGATTCTTTTGTCTACCACTCTTTTTCTGCCTTTTGCAGTTTTCATTGATGATTTTAGATGACTACATTTTCCCTGTCTTTCTTAGCATGTACTTCTCTTTTTAAAACTTTTTTTAACTAGTTGCCACAGAATTTGCAATATACATTTACAACCAATTCAAGTCCACTTTCAAATAACACTATCCCACTATCCCACGAATAAGAGTACCTGCTTAACAAACAAAACACCTAATTCCTCAGTAACATTTACAACAAATTCAAGTCCACTTTCAAATAACACTATCCCACTATCCCACAAATAAGACTACCTGCTTAAAAAAGAACACACCTAATTCCTCAATATACATTTACAACCAATTCAAGTCCACTTTCAGATAACACTATCCCACTTCATGGGTGACTACCTGCTTAACAAAGAAAACACCTGATTCCTCCCTCCCATCCTTCCATTCCATTCCTTGTATTATTGTTCCTTATTTCACTTGTGTATAAGCACACATAATCTATCTGTGTGTATTTATTATTATCTACAAACTTATTGGTCAGATCAATTATGAATAAATACATGTTTTTATTGTACCACAATTCCTCCCTCCCATCCTTCCATTCCATTCCTTGTATTAGTGTTACTCATTTCAATTGTGTATAAGCATACATAATCTATCTGTGTGTATTTGTTATTGTCTATGAACTTCTTGGTCAGATCAATTAAGAATAAATACATAGCTTTTTATTGTACCACAATTCTTTAATGCTCTTTTTAAAAAAATGTTGATCCAGGTTTCAGTTATATATCTTTTGTTTCCCTCTAAAGAATTTCATTTAACATTTCTTGCAAGACAGGTCTCCTGGCAACAAGTTTCTTGAATTTTTATTTTTCTGAGGAAGGCCTTAATTCTCCTTCACTTTTGAAGGGTGGTTTCAGTGGGTACAGAAACTTAGGTTGGTGGGTTTTTTTCTGTCAACATTTTGAATTTTTCATTTCACTGTCTTCTTGCTTTCACAGTTTCTGCAATGTTGAATGCAGTTCTTATCTTTGTGTCTCTGTAGGTAAGGTGTTTTCTGCCCCACCTCTGGTTTCTTTCAGAGTTTTCCTTTATCTTTTATTTCATATAGTTTGAAAATTATATGTCCAAGTGTAGGTTGTTGGCATTTATTCTGCTTGGTGTTCTCTGAGCTTCCTGGATCTTTGGTTTGGTGTCTGACATAAATACTGGAAGTTCTCAGACATGGTTGTTGCAAAACTTTCTTCTATTTCTTCTCCTCCTGGTATTCTCATTACTCTGTTTCACCTTTTGTAGTTGTCCCACAGTCTTGGATATCATCTTCTGTTCTTTTCAGTGTTTCTTTTCTTTAGTTTTCGAAGTTTCTGATGATAAATCCTCAAGCTCAGAGATTCTTTACTCAGCTGAGTCCAGTCTACTAATAAGCCATCAGAGGTATTCTTCAGTTATTTAACACATTTTTTACCACTACATTATGTTGAAGTTTCTTACGATGTCTGTCTTTCTGATTACATTACCCATCTACACTTGAATGCTGTCTACTTCATTCATTAGACCCTTAGCATATTCTCCAGAGGTTTAAAAAAATTTCCAAAATCATAACTTTGTCTGCTTCTGAAGCTTGCTCTGTTGACACAAATTGTATTTTTTTCTTTTTTTGGATTTTAGTATGCCTTGCAATTTTTTCCCTTTATTCTCATGCATGAAGCACCCACTAAAGGTGACTGCTGTTAGTATAGCTTTAGTAATGCGGTGATGAGGTGACAGGGCAGGTGATGCTCTCTTAGTCTCTTTAGGCTACTATAACAAAATACTTTAGACTGAGTAATTCATAAACAACAGAGATTATTGCTCACAGATCTGGAGGCTGGAAAGTCCAAGACTAAAGGGGCAGAATATTTAGTGTTTGGTGAAGGTCAAACATTCAGACACTCGCAACGACTATAGTGACAGCAGCAGTCTTCAGGAATCCTATGTGAGGGAAAAACATTCAGACCACAGCAGGAGTGCTCGGGAATCCTATGTGAGGGACAAACATTCAGACCCCAGCAGTAGTGTTGTGGAATCCTATGTGAGGGGAAAACTTTCAAACCCTTGTAGCAGTGTTCTGCAATCCTATGTGAGGGGCAAAAATTCAGAACCTCGTAGCAGTGTTCTGGAATCCTATATGAAGAACAATCAGACCACAGCAGGAATGTTCTGGAATCCTATGTGAGGGGCAAACATTCAGACCACAGCAGGAGTGTTCTGGAATCCTATGTGAGGGACAAACATTCAGACCACAGCAGGAGTGCTCTGGAATCCTATGTGAGGGACAAACATTTCAAAACCTTGTAGCAGTGTGCTGGAATGTTATGTCAGGGACAGACATTTAGACCCTCGCAGCAGTGTTCTAGAATCCCATCTGTGGGACAAACATTCAGACACTCGCAGCAGTGTTCTGGAATTCTATGTGAGGGACAGACATTCAAACCCCAACAGCAGTGTTCTAGAATCCTATGTGAGGGACAGACGTTCAGACCCCAGCAGCAGTGTTCTGGAATCCTATGTGAGGTACAAACATTCAGACACCAGCAGAAGTGTTCTGGAATCCTATGTGAGGGACAAACATTCAGACCCTCGTAGCACTGTTCTGGAATCCTATGTGAATGACAAACATTCAGACCACGGCAACAATGCTCAGGAATCCTATGTGAGGGACAAACATTCAGACCCTCGTAGCAGTGTTCTGGAATCTTATGTGAGGGACAAACATTCAAACCACAGCAGCAGTGTTCTGGAATCCTACGTGAAGGACAAACTTTCAGACCACAGCAGGAGAGTTCTGGAATCCTATGTGAGGGACAAACTTTCAGACCAAAGCAGGAGTGTTCTTAAATCCTATATGAAGGACAAACATTCAGACCCCAGGAGCACTGTTCTGAAATCCTATGATAAGGGCAAACATTCAGACCCCAACATGAATGTTCTGGAATCCTATGTGAGGGACAAGCATTAAGACCATAGCAGGAGTATTCTGGAATCCTATGTGAGGGACAAACATTTAGACCCTTGTAGAAGTGTTCTGGAATCCTATGTGATTAAAAAAACATTGAGACCACAGCAGGAGTGCTCTGGAATCCTATGTGAGGGACAAACATTCAGACCTCAGAAGGAGTGTTCTGGAAACCTATGTAAAGGACAAACATTCAGACCCTCGTAGCAGTGTTCTGGAATCCTATGTGAGGGAAAAACATTCAGACCACAGCAGGAGTGCTCGGGAATCCTATGTGAGGGACAAACATTCAGAACCTCGTAGCAGTGTTCTGGAATCGTATGTGAGGGACAAACATTCAGACCCTCCCAGCAGTCTTCTGGAATTCTATGTGAGGCACAGACATTCAAACCCCAGCAGCAGTGTTCTGGAATCCGATGTGAGGGACAGACATTCAGACCCCAGCAGCAGTCTTCTGGAATCCTATGTGAGGGAAAAACTTTCAAACACTCATAGCAGTGTCCTGGAATCCTATGTGAGGTACAAACATTCAGACCCTCATAGCAGTGTTCTGGAATCCTATGTGAGGTACAAACATTCAGACCCTCATAGCAGTGTTCTGGAATACTATGTGAGGGACAACCATTCAGACCATGGCAGTTCTGAAATGCTATGTGAAGGACAAACATTCAGACCCTCGTAGCAGTGTTCTGGAATCCTATGTGAAGGACAGACATTTAGACCCTCGAAGCAGTGTTCTTCAGTCTTAAGTGAGGAACAAAAATTCAGACCCTCGTAACAGTGTTCTGGAATCCTTTTTTGAGGGACAGACATTGAGACCCCAGCAGCAGTGGTCTGGAATCCCATGTGAGGGACAAACATTCACACCCCAGCAACAGTGTTCTGTAATCGTATGTGAGGGACAAGCATTCAGACCCCAGCAGCAGTGTTCTGGAATCTTATGTGAGGACAAACATTGAGACCCTCGTAGCAGTGTACTGGAATCCTACAGGAGACACAAACATTCGTACCACAGCAGAAGTGTTCCGGAATCTTATGTGAGGGACAACCATTCAGATCACAGCAGGAGTGTTCTGGAATCCTTTGTGAGGGACAACCATTCAGACCACAGCAGGAGTGTTCTGGAATCCTATGTGAGGGACAAATATTCAGACCCTCATAGCAGTGTTCTGGAATCCTTTGTGAGGGACAAACATTCAGACCTCAGCAGGAGTGTTCTGGAATCCTGTGTGAGGGACCAACATTCAGACCCTCGTAGCAGTGTTCTGGAATGCTATGTGAAAGACAACCATTCAGACTCTCATAGCAATGTTCTGGAATCCTATGTCAGGGACATTCAGACCCCAGCCGCAGTGTTCTGGAATCCTATGTGAAAGACAAACGTTCAGACCATAGCAGTAGTGTTCTGCAATCCAATGTGAGGGACAAACATTCAGAGCCCAGCAGCAGTGTTCAGGAATCCTATGTGAGGGACCAACAATCAGACCCTCGTAGCAGTGTTCTGAAATCCTATGTGAGGGACAAACATTCAGAACCCAGCTGCAGTGTTCTGGAATCCTATGTGACAGAAAAACATTCCGACCACAGCAGCAGTGTTCTGGAATCCTATGTGCAGTACAAACTTTCAGACCACAGCAGGAGAGTTCTGGAATCCTATGTGAGGGACAAACTTTCAGACCCCAGGAGCAGTGTTCTGAAATCCTATGTTAAGGGCAAGCATTTACATCCCAGTGTGAATGTTCTCGAATCCTAGGTAAGGGACAAACATTCAGACCACTGCAGGAGTGTTCTCGAATCCTATGTGAGGAACAAACATTCAGACCACAGAAGGAGTGTTCTGGAATACAATGTGAGGGACATTCAGACCCTCTTAGCAGTGTTCTGGAGTCCTATGTGATGAGCTAACTTTCAGACCACAGCAGGAGTGTTCTGGAATCCTATGTGAGGGTCAAACATTCAGACTACAGCAGGAGTGTTCTGGAATCCTATGTGAGGGCAAACATTCAGACCCACGTGGCAGTGTTCTGGAATCCTATGTGAGGGACAAATATTCAGACCACAGCAGGAGTGCTCTGGAATCCTATGTGAGGGACAAACATTCAGAACCTCATAGCAGTGTCCTGAAATCTTATGTGAGGGAGAGACATTTAGACCCTTGCAGCAGTGTTCTGGTATCCCATGTGAGGGACAAACATTCAGACCCTCCCAGCCATGTTCTGGAATTCTATGTGAGGGAAAGACATTCAAACCCCAGCAGCAGTGTTCTGGAATCTGATTTGAGGGGCAGACATTCAGACCCCAGCAGCAGTGTTCTGGAATGCTATGTGAAGGACAAACATTCAGACCATGGGAGCAGTGTTCTAGAATCCTACGTGAAGGACAAACATTAAGACTCTCGTAGCAGTGTCCTGGAATATATGTGAGGAACAACCATTCAGACACCAGCAGAAGTGTTCTGGAATCCTAGGTGTGGGAAAAACATTCAGAACCTAGTAGCAGTGTTCTGGAATCCTATGTGAGGGACATACATTCAGACCACGGCAGCAGTGTTCTGGAATGGTATGTGAAGGACAAACATTCAGACCCTTGTAGCAGTGTTCCGGAATTCTATGTGAGGGACAAACATTCAGACCACAGCAGCAGTGTTCTGGAATCCTATATGACGGACCAACATTCAGACCCTTGCAACAGTGTTCTGGAATACTAGGTGAGGGAGAAATATTGACACCCTTGTAGCAGTGTTCTGGAATTCTATGTGACTGACAAACATTCAGACTCCAGCAGCAGTGTTCTGTAATCCTATGTGAGGGGCAAACATTCAGACCCCAAGAGCAGTGTTCTGAAATCCTATGTTAAGGGAAACATTGAGACCCCAGCATGAATGTTCTGGAATCCTATGTGAGGGACAAACATTCAGACCACGGCAGGAGTATTCTGGAATCCTATGTGAGGGACAAACATTCAGACCACGGCAGGAGTATTCTGGAATCCTATGTGAGGAACAAACATTCAGACCACAGCAGGAGTGTTCTGGAATCCTATATGAGGGATAAGCATTCAGACCCTCGTAGCAGTGTTCTGGAATCCTATGTGAGGGAGAAGCATTCAGAGCACAGCAGGAGTGCTCCGAAATCCTATGTTAGGGACAAACATTCAGAACCTCGTAACATTGTGCTGGAAACCTATGTGAGGGACAGACATTTAGACCCTCGCAGCAGTGTTCTGGAATCCCATGTAAGGGTCAAACATTCAGATCCTCACAGCAGTGTTCTGGAATTCTATGTGAGTGACAAACTTCCAGACTCCAGCAGCAGTGTTCTGTATTCCTATGTGAAGGACAAACATTCAGAATCCAGGAGCAGTGTTTTGAAATCATATGTTAAGGGCAAACATACAGACCCTAGCATCAATGTTCTAGAATCATATGTGAGGGACAGACATTCAGACCCTCGCAGCAGTGTTCTGGAATCCTAGATGGGGGACAAACATTCAGACCCCAGCAGCAAGCTTCTGGAATCCTATGTGGGGGACAAACATTCAGACAATAGCATCAGTGTTCTGGAATCCTATGTGAGGGACAAACACTCAGAGCCTTTTAGCAGTGTTCTGGAATCCTATGTGAGTGAGAGTGCCTGGAGCCTACCCAACCTGACACCCCCAAAGCCCTCACAGGGTCTGACCTCCCAGCATGCACCTGCCTCTCCCTGAACCCCAACTGCCCACCCTGCCTGCTCCCTGGCCTCCTTCATCCTGTGCAGCCCATAGACTGTGACCATCTCTGCAGCCACTCTGGCTCTTCCTTTACCTTTGTCCTGTCAGAATCTCTGAACAGGATCTCCCAGGTCCATCGAAACACGTGCTTTGTCCACTTTTGACTAGGCCCTTGGGCATCACTGGGCTATCCCAGCTGTCCACAGGGCCTTCAATAATGCACATTGCACCTGGCTTATCCAAGCAGTGCTCAGCAGCCCACATTGACCAGGTCCCTGCTGACCAGACCCCACACATCAGGTCCTCCCTGATGACACCCTCCCTGCTGACCGGACCCCACACATCATTATTGACAAGGCCTCACTGATCAGGTTCCACTGATCATGACCTCATTCCCTGGCCCCAAAGATGAGGCCCCACTGACCAGGCCTCCAGGGAACAGGTTGCCACTGATCAGGCCCCTAATAACCAGGCCTAAGGTCACCAGATGCCCCTGACTGGGACCCTAGTGAGTAGACCCCACTGAACTGGCACCAAATGCTGAGATCCCCGCTGACCAGGTCACCCTGTAGACCAGTGCTACAAAAGTCACCACTGACCAAGTCCTCTCTGACCAGGACACTACAGATTAGGTCCCACTGACAAGGCTGCCCTGACCAGGGCCCCACTGACAAGGGCCTCACTGATGAGGACACGCCCACCAGGGTCTGCTGACTAGGTCCCATGTGCCCAGTCCTCCACTGAATAGCACCCCTTGACCTGGTCACCAGTGCCCCAGCCCATGCTGACCAGGCCAGCACTAAGCCCCAGCTGACCAGGTCTCCACTGATCAAGCCCCACAGCCCAGGTTTGCACTGACCAGACACCAAACAACTGGCAGCCAATAGGTCCCCACTCACCAAAACCCCCACTACTAGACCCCACTAATGAGACCCTCTCTAAGCAGACCCCTGCTGACCACAATCCCACTAAATAGTCCTCACAGACCTAGGTCCACTGACCAGGCCCACACTGATCAAGCCCCTCCTAACCACGCCGGAAATCCAAGCGGCAATGACATGTTTCATATGGCAAAAGTTGGAACAAGACAGAGAGAGGAAAGAGGTTCCACAGCCTTTTAAACTACTAGATCTCATGAGAACTCACTCACTATCAGGAGGATGGCATTAAGGGCTTAGTGCTTTGCCATTTGTGAAGGATCCACTCCCACCCCTTTATGATTAAAGATTTTTCCACCTAGGCCCCGACTCTAACATTAGGGAGTGTACTTTCACATGAGCTTTGGAAGGGGCATAGAGAAAAACCGTATTATTCTGTCCCTGACCCCACAAATCTCATGTCCTTCTCACATTTCAAAATACAGTCATGCCTTGCCAGCAGTCTCCCAAAGTCTTAACTCATTTCAGCATTAACTCAAAGTTACAAAGTGCAAAGTCTCATCTGGGTCAAGGCTACATTCTCTTTTGCCTACGAGTCTCTGAAATAAAAAGCAAGTTCACTGCGTCTAAGGTACAATGATGGTACAGGCATTGTGTAAGCTTTCCATATCCAAAAGGGAGACATTTTCCAGAAACCTTCTTATTTTTATCTGAGGCCCCCTCAGCCTGGCCTTCACTGTCCTTGTTTTTGTCAGCATCCTTGTCACAGCCATTTAACCAGTCTCTAAGATGGTCCAAAAATGTTCTCATCTGTCTGTCTTCTTTGGAGCCCTCCAAACTCTTCCAACCTCTACCCATTACCCAGTTCCGAAGTTGCTTCCACATTTTCAGGTATCTTTATAGCAATGCTCCAGTCCTCATTTGCCATTTTTGGTAAGATTTATTTCGAAAAAGAGGTTTAATTGGCTCATGGTTCTGCAGAGTGGACAAGAAGCTTAGTGCTTCTGCTTCTGGGGGGCCTCAGAAATCTTTCAATCATTGTGCAAGGTAATGAAAGAGTGAATTGTCTCATATGGCAAGAGGAAATCACGGAGAGTAGGGAGTGATATAGAGTTTTCAGTGGCCAGATCTCACGAGAATTCACTCATGATTGTGAGGACAGTACCAAGGGGATAGTGCTGAACCACTCATGAGAAATTTGCCTTCATGATTCAATCACCTTATAACAGGATCCACCTCCAACATTAGGAAGCATAACTCAACATGAGATTTGGTGGGGACACATATTCGAATTGCCTCATCAGTCTTTGAGTATAAAGACATCCATAGCAGGCTTTATCCAGCCAGCTTCTTTGGGATTCTTTATAGGGTTTCAGGTCTATAGCATATCCACTAAAATATTCCTACTTCAAAAAGCAATAAAGTAAGTGGTATTATCATTCTTCAAAAAGTTATAATGGTAGTGTAGGCATTCATAGTATGATTTAGTTCATTTGTTACTGTTTCTATTCTATCACCATATTAACACTTTCCTAGACAGTTCTATATTCAGCTGGGTTTCAGTTGAGCACAAAGTCATCCTTGTACTACCACCGATAGCTGGCACTAGCTCTTTGATACTGTTATCATTCTGCTGTAGAAAGTACCCGTGAAGTGGAAAAAGTCCACAATAGAATAGCTAGTCATTCAACACTATCAAATTTTAGGTGACTTTTTGAAAAAATAGTATCTCTTGTTGCAAGAAATGGTCCATCTGTGATTTCAAGTCTCTCGCTTGAGTGAATTGGATGGAAGTGGTGAATTTCAGCCAAAGTGGCCAAAGAAATCCTGTTCCTGTGATAATGATGCCATCAGCCTCTGCACCTCTGTCTTCCCTTCTGCCACATGTTGCCTGTTCTCTGTGACTTTGGTAAGAGCTTCCTTGTGTATGAAGATGATGTCCAGAATGTTGGTCTGGTGTCCCTGAGACAGCACTAACAGGTCCATGGCTGGGTCCAGGTCCTTCCTGGACTCATTGGCAAAGAGCTTACTGATGTTCTTGAAGGCATCTCTGGTGAAGTGGATGGCCTAGTCAAGTTCTAAGGCCTGGCTGAGGCTGAAGAAAAACTGGCCACCTTCTGATGCTCTTTCTGAAAGCCTGTCACTGTCATCTGCTTGCTTGTCAACTCATTGGCAGTGAGGATGAGCTGAGTGGCCTGTGTCCATCTTCTTGGGGAAGCATTTGAAGCCATCAGTCTTGCTCTCCCACCCCTAAAGGTTGATGGTCACCACCTGGGGGTGTGCTGAGGGTCAGAAAGAAGCCAGCACCCACTATCTGATCCTTCTCAGCCTTCCTCTTGCACTCTCTCCAGGCTGTCTCTTCAGTGTTGGTGGGATACGTCAGAAAGTGATGGAAGATGTGGCACTGTGTCCACACCCAGAAGCTGGCCATGTGGTTGGCTTATCCACCAGAATGGATGCTCTGGGTGCTCTTTAAGCCAGCTTGGCCTTGCCTGGCATGCACAGGCCCCAGGTTCCGACATGTTGCTCCGAGTGAGCTTGTCCTGCCTTGGGCCAAATTCTTTCAGGCCAGGGCCAAAAAAGGCCGAGTCCCACGGGTGGTAATCCTGGCTGCTTTCTTCACTTCCACATAAAGACCTCCTGAAGATGGCCTGTGGTCTACCTCTTTGCAACCAAGAAGCCCACAGTGCCATATGAACACTTAGGCATGGACTGGAGCCCCTGAGGAAGCACACACCCTGCTCCTGAGCTTGCTGCTCATTTTCTCTGTGTGGCTCCATTTGTGTCACAGTTGTTGCACAGACTTGTGCATGAAGGGCAAGGCCAAGCTGGCTCAAAAAGCAACTGGCCACCTCTGCAAGGTTGTGCCAGGAGCTGGTGGACTGGCCACCAACCTCACTTGCTGCCGGTCAGCTTACATCAGTTCTTCTACCCTAGAGGTAGGGCCCCAGTGCCATATGCTTTTCCTCAGGCCTCTGCTCTATCAGTCATCAGGCGGCAACCACTCAGGCTGTGGGAACCTGGCCATCCCTCCTTCCTTGAGTAGCTGAGGTTGCTGGCTTGTCTGCCTGCTACAGGTGCAGCCTTGCAGATGTGGCTAGTTGCTCTGAGCCAGCTTGGCCTTGTCTGGCATGCATAGGCCCCAGGTACTGACACTCTGCTCCGAGTCAGCTTGTCCTGCCTTGGGTCAAATTCTAAGTCTGGCCAGGGCCACAGAAGGCCCAGTCCCCTGGGTGCTAATCTTGGCTGCTTTCTGCACTTGAACATAAAGTCCTCCTCAAGAAAGCCTGTGGTCTGTCTGTTGGCGACCAAGAAACCTACAGTGCCATACGAGCCCTGAGGCATGGACTGGAGCCACAAAGGCAGTGCACGCCCCGTTCCTGAGCCTGCTGATCATTTCCTCTATATGGCTCCATTTGTAGCACACTTGTTGCAGCGAGGCTTGTGCATGCCAGGCAAGGCCAAGCTGGCTCAAAGAGCAAGCAGCCACCTCTGCAGGGGTGTGCCAGGAGCAGATGGACCAGCTGCCAACCTCACTCACTGCCAGACGTGGTACATCAGTTCTTCTACCCTAAAGGTGGGGCCAAGAGGCAGACCACAGGCCATCTTGAGGAGGACTTTATGTTCAAGTGCAGAAAGCAGGCAGGATTACCACCCTGGGGACTCACCCTTCTGTGGCCCACAGTGCCATATGAGCCCTGAGGCATGGACTGGTGCCATCTGCTTTATATAAAAATTAACTTAAGATGGATTAAAGAGTTAAATATGCCACCTGCTTTTCCTCAGGCCTCTGCTCCATCAGCCATCAGGAGGCAGCCACTCAGGCTGTGGAAACCTGGCCATCCTGGCTTCTTTCAGTGGGTGAGGTTGGTGGCTGTTCCACCTGCTCCAGGCACACCCTTGCAGAGGTGGCTGCTTGCTCTTTGAGCCAGCTTGGCCTTGCCTCGCATGCACAGGCCCCACCTACTGACACACTGCTCTGAGTGACCTTGTCCTGCCTTGGGCCAAATTCTGTCAGGCCAGGGCCACAGAAGGCCGAGTCCCCTGGGTGGTAATCCTGGCTGCTTTCTGCACTTGTACATAAAGTCTTCCTCAAGACGTCCTGTGGTCTGCCTCTTGGCAACAAAGAAGCCTGCAGTGCCATAGGAGCCCTGAGGCATGCACTGGAGCCCCAAAGGCAGTGCACACCCTGCTCCTGAGCCTCCTACTCCTTTCCTATATATGGCTCCATTTGTAGCACGGTTGTTGCACCAAGGCTTGTGCATGCCAGGCAAGGCCAAGCTGGCTCAAAGAGCAACCAGCCACCTCTGCAAGGGTGTGCCAGGAACAGGTGGGCCAATCACCAACCTCACATGCTGCCAGTCACAGTACATCAGTTCTTCTGCCCTAGAGTTAGGGCCCCAGTGCCATCTGCTTTTCCTCAGGACTCTGCTCCATCAGCCATCAGGTGGCAGCTACTCATGCTATTGGAACCTGGCCATCTGGGTTTCCTTGAGTGGGTGAGGTTGCTGGCTTGTCCGCCTGCTTAAAGGTACTATGGGGATAGAACACTGAAATAATAATAATGCATTTTTCAAACAAATTAATTCCTTGATTTTCAAACAAATTGAAGACAAAGGAAACTCATGATTCAAATGAATACATATGGCTCATTTTATTCAATATTTATGCTTACAGAATATATGCAAATAAGACATTCCCATGATTAATATTAGTATTTAAGACTGATAAACTTTTGAGTGGGCAGTTAAAGCTTATCTTCTACTATTTTCTAACTTCAGAAATGCTTTTGTTTGAAAGTTGGGTGACAAAGTTTCAAGGAGATTAAGTCCCAATATTCCTATTTTAAATCTCTCAGCTTGTGCAGGCAGGGCAGGTAAACATGAAGTTTTTAAGGATAGAAGGGACCTGAGAGATAGCAGAATATGTCTGCTACATAACAGGTACTCAGGTTATGTTTGATGAATAAATGGAATGAAAGAATGGAAAAATACAGTTGGGGAGTTCAATATTTTTAAATAAACGCCTATAAAGCAATATTTTTGCAATAGTAATATTTATATGTTATTTTTATTTAAGAATACAATTAAAATGAAATGATTAATCTATCATTGTTTGCATAAATTGAATGAATACATAAGAAAAACATATGTACATAATAAAATATATAGATAATAAAATCTGGAAACAGATAAAAATATTCCCTTTTTACTTCTGAAGAGGCTAAAAGTTCAAAGAAGATAACAATACACTCAATAATGATTAAAAATAGAAAGTAAGAAATTATTTTTAATATTGTAAGATTCATATTCCTGTCTTCCCAAGGATTATTTCTTTATTAATAAACTTTACTAGAAGTTTTGTACATGCTTACTGCAGCAATCACAGATAAGAAAAAGGAAAAGAACTTTACTTAAAATACAAATGCTCAGAAATTACAAATTTTATATTTTGTACATATTTTTTGATAAAACAAGACCATAGTATGTTTGTATGTATAACTTAATTGATTTTTTTCTCACTAGCTATAACAAAATACATCTTCGCACATCAATATACTTCTGTATCTATTGCCACCTTCAATGGTCACATATTATTCCATCCTGTGGATGCAACTGAAGTTTATTTATGGGATCCATTCTTTGGGTTCTTTTTAAAATAAGTGAGGTGAAAAATAAAGTGCATGTATCTTTATTTCCTAAGGGTGTTTTAGTATAATGGAATTGATGGGTAAAGGGCATACATATTTTTTAATTGTAGTACTTACCACCAAATTATCTATTTGAAAAGTAATCAGCAACTTAAACTTTAAGCAGGAGTATAAAACATCCTCACAAATATTGTGGATAGAAAACTGTTTCATTCCTCTTTTAATTTAAATTCTTATACCAGAAATGCGAAGGACTTTTTCCTATGTACACAAGTAACTTGCAGATCTGGAAAAGTGTACTTTGCCCAATTTTAGAGTGTTTGATGATTTGATTTGAAAGAATTCCCTGTCAAATGAAAACGTACTTTTCATCTAATGTGTATATATAACTGATATATATGACATATTATATCTGGTATATATGTATACGTATCAGTTATATATATATATATATATATATATAACTTATGATATATAATAAACAACATAGGCCGGGCGCGGTGGCTCACACCTGTAATCCCAGCACTTTGGGAGGCGGAGGCGGGCAGATCACTTGAGGTCAGGAGTTCGAGACCAGCCTGGCCAACGTGGTGAAACCCCCTCTCTACTAAATATACAAAAATTAGCCAGGCACGCTGGCACCTGCCTGTAATCCAAGCTACTTGGGAGGCTGAGGTAGGAGAATTGCTTGAACCCGGCAGGCAGAGGTTGCAGTGAGCCAAGATTGTGCCATTGGACACCAGCCTGGGCAAAGAAGTGAGACTCCGACTCAAAAACAAAAAAAAAGAATATAATGAATTCCCTATAAAATGAAAACATACTTTTCATCAGAAAATACATACATACATATATATATATAATATAGTAAATATTTTTCAAGTAAGCTCTCTTATCTGAGAACTTTTTGCCTACTGAAATAACTCACGGTATTTTTGATAGGGGAACAAGTTCTCTCATTAGGCACCTCCTATAATGTATATAAACCATGTTTTCAACGTGTACGTTAAAAATAACAACACTGTGTATGCTTAACTTTGTGAGTTAAATCACTCAAATTCTCCAACTGCTCCAGCCATGGAATTATGAGGGATGGAAAACAGCTGAGAGTCCGTTTGGCTCCGCCGCTCTGAGGGTGCCCAGAGCCCTGAAAGGCCCCGTCCCAGGGGCAGTGGGGAAGCCAGGCCTGGGGACCCCCTCCCACCCCGGGCTGAGTCCCCGCTACCTGTGCTGCTTGTCCGGGGCATCCAGGTCTCCGCTCCTGCGCGCCAGGCAGCACTCCACCCCCGCGGCGTCGCCCTTGACAGCTGCCCTGTGGATCTTCTGCAGTTCGGAGTCCCAGATTCGGTATCTGGAACCCGTGTAGACATGTTCTATGGAGCCGTGGGCTGTCTGGCCCCTGCGGCTCCCGAAGCCGAATAACTTCATAGTGGTGACTTCTCAGACCCCCAACCTCCGGCTCTTGAGCGGGGGCAGCTCCCTGTCACCTTTTCACCACCCCCCTCCCCCGACCCCGGCCGACCTCCCTGTCACCTTTTCACCCACCCCCTCCCCCGACCCCGGCCGACCCAGCCCCAAATCCCCTATCCAACCCCAAATCCCTGATCCAAACCCAAATCTGTGATCAACCCCCAATCCGCGATCCCAAATCTGTGATCTACTCCACAGTCCATGATCCAGCCCGGTCCACCACAGCCTTCAGCAGTGACACTCGCAGCCTCCGACCTCTCAGACAGAGTGAGCCTCGCAAAGCCGTTGGGCGCGCGCATGCACCGCGGTTGCTGCCCGGCTCCCGGAAGCCGTTCCCTGGTGGCGCGCGCTGGCAGGTGGGGCTGCAGCTCTGGGCGGGCGCCGATGGGCTCGCAGGTCCTCTTGGGATCGCCCGGGCGTCCCCAGGATCGCAGGAGCGCCGCCAGCCCGGCCTGAGAAGGAGGGCCTGTCTGGCCTTGCAGCCCGCCCCGCTCCTCCTCGGAAGGGAGATAGGGTGCTGGCAAGGGCACTCCGTGGCCACCTGGGTGGCTTCGCAGATGGCCCGGCTTCACGCTGAGGCTCTGGCCCTGGAGTCTGTGTGGCTAGTGTCAGGTAGCTGGAGAGGCATGGGGGCAGAGTCAGGGGCTGCTCCTTCCCCCACCAGCCCTCACTGCTGCCAGTGCCCCATGCGCAGTTTGCAGCTGCAGATCTGGCACTGGCGTGGGACGGCGGAGCTTCCCTTGGATGGCCTCAGGGTCGCAGAGCGCACAGCCCACCTGGCCTCAAGTTCCACTCCTCTTGGGCATCTCTCTGGATCCTGGGCCCGGGAGCTGGGCACTCTGTATCCACATGGATGAAACTGAGCGGCTGCTGGCGGGGCCCGTCGCCTGATTTTGCCGCCTAGGGGTCTGGCCTCAAGATCCACGCTACTTGGGGGCGGGCCTGGTCTGGGGTGTCCAGTCACTTATTGCCGGTGCACCACGTCTAGACTGCAGCTGCGGCTCCGATGCTGGAGTCAGCTGGCAGGCCTGGTACCTGATGTCCTCAGGGTCAAGTGCATCGCCCACCCACTTGAGGGGTTGCTGTGACTTGGCCTCCTCCAAGAACTCAGGGGCCACCAGGGCTGGCTCTTCGTGGTAACCGGGATGGTATTGAGCAGCAGGTTTTCAGCCTGGTGCCACTGCTGTGTGGACTGCCTGACTTGGGCGCCCAGGCACTGGCTTCAGGGTCCGCGTGGCAAGTGTGTGTGCGGGTAGGGTGAGTGGCACGGAGGGTCAGGGGTTGCTCCGTCATCTCTGCCTGTGTGCAACTTGCAGTTTTGCAGTTTTCTGCAGCAGCTGAGGTGCTGGCGTGGGAAGGCCGAGCTCCCCTGGATGGCATCAGGTTTGCAGGCACAGAGCACAGCCCAGGCCTGAGGGTCAGCTCAGGGGCCATGGTGGTTGAGTTCTCCGTGGAAACTGGGATGGGGTGAACGGCCAGTTCCCGTCCTTTGGCCGCCTGGCCAACTACCAGACTTAGCCACTGACGCCCAGGCATCTGTCTCTGGGGTTGCCGCTACTTGGGTAGAAGTGGGGGTCGGGGTGGGGCATGGAGCGTCACCGGTTGCCAGGCCAGCACTGTCTTTGCAACATATTCAGATGGCAGCGGGCAGCTCGGGCACCAGCATGGGCTGGCGGGGCTCCCCTGGAAGGCCCTCAGATCGCTCACAGCATTGTCCCAGGGCTTCCTCAGCCTGTGCCAGGTGAGCAAGGTAGGGGGGAGCTTCCAAGGCTTCTATCCCAACTCTACCTATTTCTAGCTATTTTCTCTTGAGTTATTTTGCGTCTATCTCAGTTTTATTTGCAAAAATAATGTATGCAAAATACATCGAGTGAATGTACATCAGGCATATAGAAGATCTGGCAGAAACACGTTTTCTCATGCCCATTTCCATTCAGTATTTGAACACAGAGGCTTCCATGGTTTTGATTCTTTCCACAAAAGGATAGTTTTGTCTGTTTTCACCATTTACATAAGTGAAACTATAAATTATATAATTTTTATGTTCATTCACTAAACATGCTTGTGACATCATTTTGCTCCTATTGATTATTCATTAATTTTATTTTGTAATACTTAATTTTATGACTATACCACAGGTTTGAGGCCTTTGCTTGTTTTGTTTATAATCCACTCCACTATTGATAGACACAAAAGCAGTTTCTGATTTGAGGCTATCATGAATAAACCTTCTACGAACAAATCAGATATACACATTTTTCTGTAATAATATTTTCACTTTTCTTGGGTTTAAGTACATAAGAGTGGATTTTCTGGGTTATAAAATAAGTATATATTTGGCATTGTATGAAATAGGGAGACATTTTCCTAAGTGGTTGTGCCATCTTAAACTAAAATGAAAATGTATGAGAATCAGTTCCACTTTCTAACCAATACTTGATGCTTTCAGTTGTTTTAGTGTTATCCATTCTTATGGGATATAACTGCTGAGTAGCTGTCTGCCTTCCCAATAACACAGAAAATTGAGGGCCCAGAGGACAGTTTTATTTTCATATTTGACATCTTCTATTATTTTTTATAGAAGGGTGATTTGGGTAGTAAAATTGTCTTTCAATTTTCTAGGTTGTCTCTGAATCTTACTGGGGTTCCTTGTCTTAAACCACATTCAGAAATTTTCACGACCAACTTCTTTTTATCTTTGTCATACCAGGCCAATGAGGGACTGCATTCCTGAGACTTTTTAAGTACTTTTTGTGTGTATGATGGTCTAATAATCATAGCCTTAAAACTTTCTGGCTGGGCATGGTGGCTCATGGCTGTAATCCCAGCACTTCGAGAGGCCAAGGCGGGTGGATCACCTGAGATCAGGAGTTCGAGACCAGCCTGATCAACATGGAGAAACCCCAACTCTACTAAAAATAAAAAGTTAGCTGCGCATGGTGGCACATGCCTGTAATCCCAGCTACTTGGGAGGCAGGAGCTACTTGGGCTGAGGCAGAAGAATCGCTTGAACCCAGGAAGGGTTGTAGTTAGCCGAGATCACACCACTGCACTCCAGCCTGGGCAACAAGAGTGAAATTCCTTCTCAAAAAAAAAAAAAAGAAAGAAAAAAAGAATCTCAGACTTCTGGGAGACACTGAATTTGTGAATGTGTACAGCATGTCACAATAACTTTTTTTTTTTGAGACCAAGTCTCACTCTGCTGCCCAAGCTGGAGTGCAGTGGTCCATCTCAGCTCACTGCAAATTCTGTCTCCTGGATTCAAGCAATTCTCCTGTCTTGGCCTCCCGAGTAGCTGGGACTACAGGTGCTGCAACCATGCCTGGCTAATTTTTGTATTTTTAGTAGAGACAGAGTTTCACATATTGGCCAGGCTGGTCTCGAACTCTTCACCTCAGATGATCCACCTGCCTCAGCCAATGGGTGGACTGTTAACTCAAAATACGCACAATGAATACTGAGGAAAATGTATAGCCATCATCACCAGCAGCTGAGATGCCAGTTGAGATACCAGAAATGCCCCAGCATGTAACTCCTCTTTTAATTCACACACACACACACACACACACACACACACACACTCATGGTAACCAGTTCAGGATGGACACAGAAACAGTCACAGTCTTTTTTGGGAATACACTCCCCTGTGACACTTAGATCCTAATGCTGACTCCAATTCCCTCCTGGGACCTCCCCTCCCTTGCAGCATGCTGGGCTTTCCCTTAGAAAACCCCACGTCATTTCCTTCCATGGAACATGAATCAGCTTCACCCACAGTGTCTGCATGTCTCTGTCCATAGCAAACGTTTTTATTACCTTAAAATATAGATTTTTACCTTAACTAGCCAAGACCTAGGACCCTTTTTCCAAGCTCTTTTAGATGAAGTAATAAATGCAAATATTAGAGATGTGTATATGTGTATAAATATATGGAGAAAAGATGTTGCCTAGTTGTACAAATTAGCTTTAATAAAACTCCTGATTTAAATTATTTAATTGTGAGAAGGGCGATTCTAACTCAACACGCCAACGAAATAAAAGCCTTATCCCTCTGCTCCGCCAAAATATCCCATTTAGAGCCTGCGTGTGTGTGTACACACACGTGTGCACTCATCCCCACCTGACCATATCAAATTATTATTTAAACTAGATATTTTTACTTTGTTGCATAGTAGTAATGGTTTCTGGAATGAAAAAATAAAAAACAGGAGAATAAAACTGTTTAAATGTATCTCCGGGTGAACGCTGTGGCCACTGCAGGGACCCCGTCGATGGCGCCCAGTACCTGCGTCTCAGGAAGAGGTTCTGGTGGGGCCTCCGCCTGAGGCCGCGCCCCTGGGACCTGTCCCGCGTCCACGTGAACGCGGAGCGCAGCATTCACCATCCCCTCCCTGAAACAGCGGTCCCCGAGGTGCTCCACAGGCAGGGCCGAGCTGGGCAAGGGGGAGCCCAGCCCCTGAACGGGCCGCCCTGAGCGGCGGGGATGCAAGAAGAGCTCGCCGGCTCCACCAGCCCCTACCCCAGATGCAGGACCTCAGACCAGAGAGGACCTGGAGCCCCCGCCCCACGGTTGCCAGGAGGCGGACAGGGGCAGCTCCTGGGGGGCTACCGCCCCGAGGCCGTTCCGCCAGAACTTGAGCGACTTGGGAAGGCGCAGTGCCCTGCCCTTGAAGAGGAACCTGTGTCCTGGAGGCAGCAGCCTGGGAGCTCCTCCTCCGAGGACACCGCAGAGGCGAGTGACTCTGGCAGCGCAGCGCTGGCTTTCCCGTCCGCGGAGGAGAGCTGTGGGGCTGGGTGAGCTGGACCAGGGAGCACGGCTGGCTGCTCTCGGCCTCCTATGGGGAGTGGACAGCTTAGGGGGTTGTCCCCATGCCAGCCGGCATGCTGGCCACTCTGGGCTTCATCACAGCCTCACCTGCCTGCGCAGGCACCTAGCACTGCAGGCTGGAGCTTATGGCCATGCTGGTCAACTTCCCCAACGAGCCTCTGCTGCCTGGGAACAGCAAGGCCAGAGCTACACCGCCCTGCACTTGGCAGCCATGTACCTTGGAGATGGTGAAGCTGCTAGTGGGGACATAGGACGCCGATGTGGACATCAGGGACTACATTGGGAAAGGGCCTCCCAGCATGTGAGTCAGAGCATCACAGAAGAGATTGAGACCCTGATGGGAGTCCTGGACAAGACGATGGGGAGAGCACTGCCAGCAGCGGAGGTGGGTACTGGAAGATTTAAAAGCTGCCCCCTCCATCTCACCACCTACAAACTCTCACATGTCCTGGAAGATGGGGGGACCCTCTCCACCATCACCACTTGGCTGAAGGTGGTCCAGACGTGAAGCCAAGGATTCCAGGGCGCATAGCCTCGGGCAGGACTAATGGACTTAAAAAACACAGGCTCAGCAAAATCCACTTCACAACCCAGATGGTCCACATCACACCCTCTTTCAGGGACCCAGAGCAGCCACTGGAAGAGAAGGAGTAGGAACGCTCTCTTAAAGTCCACTTATCCTATTCCTTCACATTAAGACCAAAGTCCAATGTATTTAGGTAAAAAATAATTTCTTTTAGAAAATGCTAAGGTTTGTCTTCTGAAATTTAATAACAGAAACAAAAAAAGAACACTAGAAGTAAGGAAGTGAGACCAGAAAACACAAACTAAACTATCCTTACTAGGTTGGAATGGATGGGGTGGAGTTCCTATCAGGCTAGCATTCTGGGGAAAGCGGTATTTTTTTTTTTTTTGGCGGTCGGGGGAAGGAGTCTCGCTCTGTCGCCCAGGCTGGAATGCAGTGGCGCCATCTCCGCTCACTACAAGCTCCGCCCCTCGGGTTTACGCCATTCTCCAGCCCCAGCCTCCCAGTAGCTGGGACTACAGGCGTCCGCCACCACACACGGCTAATTTTTTTGTATTTTTAATAGAGACGGGGTTTCACCGTGTTCTCCAGGATGGTCTCGATTCCTGACCTCGTGATCCGCCCGCCTCTGCCTCCCAAAGTGCTGGGATTACAGGCGTGAGCCACTGTGCCTGGCCAGATTTCTTTTTAAGAGATTCATCATACCTTGACCTGTGCCCCATTTCCCTCCTCCACCTGTCTGACCTGGCATTCCTATTTCGGGAGACCAGAAGTGGGGGGAAGAGAAGGGATGACTGTTTCTTTGTTTTCACCATTCCTGCATGCCATGCAAAGGAAGGAATATTGCGCTTTTAAATATTAGTTTTATTAAGTAAGTGGTTACTCTTTCAAGGACAAAAAAAAATGCAAATTGTTACAAAACTGGTAGTATTTGTAAGTGCAAGCACTACATGCTGCCTTGTTCTTTTACCAATTGCATTTGCATTTTAAGGTACTACTGGTACAGCCATGGTGGAGAACAGTTTGGAGGTTCCTCTAAACACTGAAAATAGAGGTGCCACATGATCCAGCAATCCCACTGTTGGATATATACCCCAGAAATAAGAAATGAGTATATCGAAGAAATTATCTGCACTCCCATGTTGGTTGCACCACTGTTGACAATAGCTAAGATTTGGAAGCAACCTAAGTGTCCATCAACAGATTAATGTATTAAAGAAAATGTGGTAGATACACACAGTGGAGTATTATTCAGCCCTAAAAAATAATGAGATTCAGTCATTTGCAACAACATGGAAGGAACTGGATATCATTATGTTAAGGGAAATAAGCCAAGCACGGAAAGGCAGACATTGCATGTTCTCACTTATTTGTGGGATCTAAAAATCAAAACAATTGAACTCAAGGACATAGTAAGTACTAGGGGGCTGATGGGGGGAGACAGGGCACGGGTAATGGGTACAAAAATAGGCAGAAGGAATGAATAAGACATACTATTTGATAGCACAACAGGGGGACTCTAGTCAATAATTGTACATTTAAAAATAACTAAAAGAATCTAATTGGATTGTAACACAAAGGAAACATGCTTAAAGGGATGGATACCCACTCTCCATGATGTGATTAGTTCATGCTGCATGCCTGTATCAAAACATCTCATGCACCCCGTAAATATATATGCTTATTATATACTCACAAAAATGTTTGAAAATAAAAATAAAGGAACTACTGAAGGTCAGGTCAGAGTGGAAATGTAAAAATACTAATTAGAGAATAATGTGAATACAACAGGAATCCTGTTGGTATTCTATTTATATTGTAAGCAGCAGTTCAATTGTTTTGTAAAAGTAATTTCAATTTTAATCACTGAACTAAAGAAATGGGCAACGCTGACTTCCGTAATATAGGTTCTACCTAACCATCTCTAACACTGCTGTCAAGGAGGACCAGTGTTAAGGTACATTACTAACAACCACACAAATTTTTAAAAGAAAAGAACACTCTTAGCAGCCTACGGTACTTTGAAATGAAATATTGCCTCTCATTCTCACTTGTGTTGCCATTCCAAAAGTTTGAATTTGCTGAGGTTTATATTCTGGGTATTATATAACCATTGGTTCTATTTGGCATAACCCTATTAAATGGTGCTCAGAGCTGAATTACCTACAGAAACTTTCTGGTTTAATTAGCATAAATTGGTATAAATATTAGTGAGCCCATACTTCTGTGATATAATTAAACCAACTTAATGATTCTCACATAAGGTGTCAATTTATTTTACTAATGCATTCATAATCTATGCTTTGTAGCAACATTTTTCAAATGTTTAAAATGCTAAATCTTCTCAATTTTCCAATCTTTTCTTGAATCTATTAGATACCTATAGTGTAGTTACTGAATAGCTGGGAAACAAATACACCTAGTTAGAAATGGCACTGCTTTATAAAAGGCACTAGAGAAAAGACGAGACTATTCCTATATTTAAATGCTGCTGGCAAGTGAATTCCTTTGTATATAAATGAAAGATACCATTCATTAAAATGAAAGACTTGTTTTAAGTGTGATTCTTACATTTCATTCATTTATGATAGAGTAAATGGCTTTATAATTACTTTAAAATTTAACTCACTAGTACATTAAATCTGTTCATTGCAAGATTAGAATCAACTGTGAGGGGAACTAATTTAAACAAGCCCTTCCTTAGTCTTATTGAGTCTCATATTTGCTGAAAGTACCTACAGCTTGCAGGATAAGGGAGTTCACGGACCATAGGGTGAGTGAACCCATGCACAAATTGCAAACTGCCCAGAGCTACTACATTTAGGATTTTTAGACCTTTAATTTTCCATGTCATAGAAATTTGTTACAGGTTCATCACATCTTTGTCTAAATGGCAACTGAATTTCTTTAAAGATAGGTTAAAAAAAGGCATAAAACTATGAATTATTATCCATTTGTGTGCCTCTATTTTTGCTTTAGAATCATGGAAATGGACCCTGTGAATTTGGGAAACACTGTTATGTATACACATGGGTGAAAAACAATCTAACATTGTGTAAATTAAAATACTTTTTTTGAAGTTGAAAAACATCCATTTGTTCTAAATCTATATATATTATGTGTATCTAGTACAGAATAAGGTGTAACTTCTCATTGAGTAATCTTAGGTTTTACAGATATGTAAAGCTGAAGCAACTCTAAAGAGTAGACACTTCAGAACAGGAAGGTTCTGGTCAATGTTGAGAGTAGACACTTTCACTGAAGGTTCTGGTGAAATGTGGGTAACTAATTGCTTGTAATCTATAATTTGCTGTATACTTAACTATTAAGTTAAAATGTCATTTACCATGCTTTTTACACTAAAAGCTTTAACTTTTCTGAGAAAATAATATTTTAAATGTTCAATTATTACTTCTGAGGAAAGCTACTTCTAGCATTCTTTGTCATGATGTGCTTGTGTGCAGTAAGCAGAGCATTTTCAGCCACTTACCTCTACAATGTTCCTGTTTTTCAATTTCTGATTTAGATTATAAAAGGCAAATGATTAATTTAATTTGATACTCAGAGTTGTGTTTACTTTTAATGGACAAATATATGTCAGATACTTTGATGTTTATTGATATGACACCGTGTGGTTAAACAACGCAAGTATGTCCATGTGTTTCTTATAGGGTACACTTGAAACTAGTGGTGTTTATGCAGTTCACTTATGTAACTTGAAAATCTGGTACTATTGCATTCAGGACTGAAATCTTGGAGTTTAGGTGTCTTGTCTCTCATTTTGAAAATAAGTGAAAGTTGAGAATGTAAAATCCATAAAGTTCATTTTTTTAACTAGGAAAAAAACACAAATTAGCGACAGACACCAAATTACAAATCCAAAAAGCTCAGAGAACACCAAGCAGGATGAATATTTTAAAAATATACCTAGGAATATCATATTCAAACCGTAGAAAACCTGTAACAAAGATAAAATATTAAAATAAGGCAGAGGAAGAAACACATTGTCTACAGAGAAACAGAAATAAGAATTACATTGGACTTCTGTTTAGAATCCATGCAAGTAAGAAGTGTTGAAAAAATTAGAATACAGTGGGTATTTTTTATCCAAGTATTCATTATTTAAAACTGCAAAGTGAAAATAATTGTAACAAGAACATATTCACTAGCAATCTGAGCACTCATGATATTAGTGTCTGTTCTGGAGAGAATTTTGTCCCCCCAGAATTCCTAACCTAAAGCCCTATCTCCCAGTGTGACTGTATTTGGAGAAGGAGCTTTTAAGAAGGTAAAGGTTAAATAGGGGCAAAAGGGTAAGGCCCTAATCTGTTAGGACTGGGGTCATCATCCAAAAAGGAAGAGACACCAGAGATACATATCTCTCTCTTCTCTCTCTCTCTGCCTCCCTCCTTCTCTCTCTCTCCCTCTCTCTCTCCCTCTCCCCACATACATTTGTTAAATTGAGATTTTTTGTTAGAACATATATAGTGGCATTTTAATATAGTGTTACTCTACTTAAAACATACACACACACACACACACACACACACACACATACAATTTTGATAAATTCTTTTTTGAGGATAAGGCCGGGCATGGTGGCTCACACCTGTAATCCCAGCACTTGGCGGGATTATCATCTGAGGTGGGTGGATCATCTGAGGTCAGGGGTTCAAGACCAGCCTGGCCAACATGGTGAAACCCGTCTCTATTAAAAATGCAAAAAATTAGCTGGGCGTGGTGGCGGGCACCTATAATTCCATTTACTCAGAATGCTGAAGCCGGAGAGTCCCTTGAACCCAGGAGGCGGAGGTTGTGGTGAGCCGAGATTGCACCATTGCACTCCAGCCTGGGCAGCAAGAGCAAACTCCGTCTCAAGAAAAATACAATAAAATAAAAATAAAAAAACACAAAACTGGGATGTGTCCCTGTCTTTTAGGCAGATATACTTTACCATTACTAAAATTGAGCTTCAGAAACATTAAGCATGCTACACAAACTTAGCTGGAAATGAATACTGAAATGGAAGTTTGAATCCAAGATGATTTCTTTTGAATCCCATGCTAATGCCGTTAACTCCTATAGACCCTTCTCAGGTGCAGCCAGAGAGACACTAGCCCACTGATGGATGGACAGACGTGGGCAGGGTCCGTGTCACTAAACCACCCACCACTGCCACAGCTGCCTACAACAGACACATCAGATGACACTCCGGGCAAATAAATGATTTTCACTGAGGACTTACTGGTTTTAATAATAGGTCCTGGTGTAGAGAAGTCCCTCAACCTATTGTGCAATGAGTTTTGAGAAGCGGGTAAGCTGTATGTTTTGTGGTTCTGTTTCATAAATGCATCTACAGGAAGACCAATATTGACTGAATGAAGCTTTCATTTAAAGAGCTAAAATATGCTTTGTGTTTTTATATGTGGATACTACTTTAAACCTAATGACTATTCATTGTATCATAGCTTGTGATGTATTCTGCTCACGGCTTTTAAGGTAAATTGTGCCATGATCCACTGCCATTCTAATTGCTTTAACAAGTCATTACCACACTACTGTTACATCTTAATTATGCATACAGACAGGTAGACTTATTTTACATATGTGAACTAACTAGTTGTCAAAGCAAATGCAGATTGTATTCTACAAGTAAAGTCTTTTTCTCTCTGAAATTTCTAGGGATGTTCTTTAAGTGAAATTCATATTCAAACTGAAGATTTTAGTTACAAGAACTGAGTGCAGATTAAAGTCTTTTTGTGATTCAAACATAGTCAAGAGTACAACTGTGATATTTCATGGAAGTTATGCAATAAAATGTCTCTAACCTGCGAACAAATCTATCAAGCAGACGGCACAGTACTGAATTTGAAACCAGAAATACTGGGTTTTTATATAAATGCTTCATAGATTTGTTTTATGATAAAGGGCACATAACTCTCCTAAACCTCACACCACCTCTTGAATAGGTATAATAAGTCCACATCAATGCTGATGCCTTAGCTATTATTAAACTCTTACAGTATGATGTAAAGTGAAAGTACAATGTAAGATCATTCCTAGGCCAACTTTGACCAGTTTTATACAGAAACATGTGCCAACTTTTCTGTTTGCAAGGATAATATCAAAGCAAACACCAGAAAGTTATATCTTTGATGCATTTTTTTCAAAATCATACACATAATACACAAACCAAAGACAAATGATGAATATTATGTCAGAAAATATAAAGTCTTCCCCTTTCTTCTTTTGCCAAGAAAGTCCAATATTTTCACCATTTTTATGCACACAATCAACTTTATTTAAGCTGGAAGTTAATGTCTCATTGTTTTCATTGTTCTAAATAAACACCTTTTCCCTTGAGTATTGTTCTAAAAATTTTGAAGTTGTGTGAAAAATTTTGTTCTGATATCTCACATTTGTGCTAATGATATGTGAAAAGGAATACAGATGGTATTTAATTATGAACAGGAAAAGATGTTAAATATCATTAGTCATTAGAAATTTGCAAATTAAGACCACAATGACTAACACATATATATCAGAATAGCTAAAATAAAAATAAAACATCAAACGCTGGGGAGCATGAGTAAAAACTGGAGCTTTCACACATGACTGGTGGGAATGTAAAATCGTACAGCTATGCCAAAAAGGAGTATAGTAGTTTCTTAAGAAACTAAAGGAACCTGAATTCCCAGGCCTGCAGTCTGGGCCAAGGTCACTGGCCCTGGATCAATCAGGATGGGGTTCAGGGGCCTTCCTGGGGCCATCCAGTGTCCAAGGTGCCCTTTGGTGGCCTCGTCTGCCCCTCAGCCCCTGAGCACGTCCCTCTGTCCCTCCAATCCTCCCTGTCATGGAACATCTGTCACAGAGCCATGCCCTACCTCCTGCTTTCTGGAGATGCCAACTGCCTGGGGTGCTCTTAGCCCTGCCCTCCCTATCTCTGGGTCCTGACCAAGGTGCTCTAATGGACACCCCCTGACCCAGGTCTCAGAGAGCTGCCAGCACCCTGGGTCCCTGAAGCTGAGATCCAGCAAGACACATGTGGCCTGAGAGTCCCACTCTCTGGCTGGCAGAACCCAGAGGTGGGAGCACACTGGAGTGTCCTTCAGGGTGTCTTCACCCCATGAGAGGGCTGGGGGCTTTGGGAGTTTGCAGCTGGCAGGAGTCAGGGCCCAGTCCCCTAACTCTGATGCGTCCTTGGTCAAATCCTGTGCCTCAGCCTGCAGGGCCTATTGTGGTCACCAGGTGAATGTGTTCCCTTAGTCTGGGAGCCCCAAGTAGGCAGCACCCCCTGCCAACGACTTCAGGGCACCTGGAAGTGGTGGCTGAGAGGTCTCCCACTTCGCAGAGCTGGGCTCTGGCCCAGAGGCCTTCCCCTTGGCTTAGGTGGTCTCTCGGGCTCCTGGGGCTGCAGATCAGGGACAGAAACAGGGAGCTCTGCTCTGCTATGCCTACAGAGAGGTGCCCAGTGAATGCAGGTTCCAGACAAAAGGTGGAGCCTGGCATCCTGCCCTGCATGGGCTCCAGCCTGATGCCATCTGGGGAAACTGAGTCATGGCGAGGCTCAAGGATGTTTCTCAGACCACACCAGTCCCTGAAGGTCCGCTGACCTCCCAATCTTGACGGACAGTGAGAAGAGGTTCCCAGGCCACCTGCAATAGGTTCTGGCTCGGCCTGGGTTGGGGTAAGTCTACTGGCTGCTGTCCTCAAAGCCCCATCAGGAGGCTGTGTCAGGCCAGGCGCACCGTGGTGACAGCTGCATGGACTGAGGGTTCTGGCCACGGGAGAGGTCAGGTCCGGGGGAGGTCAGGTCCAGGAGGAGGGCACTGGCCGGCACATGGTTGTGCTGGTGAGACTTGGGCGGGGTGGTAGAAATGGCCCAGGAGGAGCCCCGGCTCCTGTGGCTGGAGTGAGGGTGTGGGCTGTGGTGAGAGAGGAGGTGAAGGTGGAAGGAACAGGGGCCCAGGGGCCTGTGCTGTAGGAAGGGCATGGACTTCCTAGCGAGGACTTTCTGGTGCGGGATTCTCAGGGAAGAGGAGGCCGGAGGGGCTGGGGTCCCCAGGACTGCATGCGCCAGGCAGGCGGAGGGGAGGCCGAGCCAGGAGCCGCAGGCTTCTCACCGCCAGACCAACGCCACCCTCCGCTGGCTGCGTGGGGAATCGCGCCTAGGCTGGGGCTCCCCTGGCCCCAGGTTTGGGGGACTCCGATGTGTCCTGGGGCGCTTCCTGCCCATCCAGCCTCTGCCAGGCAGCATGGCCCTGGGTGGCTTTCAGGGCAGCCTCGGCAGCACAGGACCTGCCTCCGCCCTGTGGGGCAGAGTTGGGCATCTGACTCTGGACACTTACCCAGAGGCTGAATTCAACTCCCCAGGGAAAAGCACACTCAGACTCCCTCCCTCCCCACTGTGCCCAGCCTGAGAGGACCCTGGCTGGGACTTGGGAGGAGAAGGCCAGAGGCCAGGGCCTGGCTCTCAGGCACTAGGTCCAGGAGAAAATGGAGCGGAGTCCCTGCAGGAACTGCCTCAGACTGCCCCTGAGGGGGCCTGGCCTGGGACCCTCCCTGTGCTACCAGGCTGCTGTTGGGGCCAGGAGGGCAGGGAGAGCAGCCACCTGTACGGCATCAAGTAACACTATCACTCAGCACACCCAACATCCACACAACAGCCACAGCCCTCTGCCCTGAGGGGGCAGGTGGGCAGAGCCTCCTCTGTCTTGTTCACCCTGAGCGCAGAGCTCCGCACAGGACAGGATCAGAGAGCAAACTAGGAACAAATGGATGAATCAACGAAGGGGCCAGGGCAGTAGGTCCCCACCCACACCCTGAACCCTAAGAGTGGGACACAGAGGCTGGAGACGGGCTGGCCCTGGGATCCTCTAAGTGACAGGAACCCTTGGCCACTGTTGATTGCCCCGAGGTGGGGACAGGGATGGTGGGGCTGGGGCTGCCTGGCCCTTTAAGAGGGCAATTCTGCCCACCGCCCTGAATGCCCCCTCCCCTAGCCACTGGAGAAGAGATCCCGTTTCTTGGCAACAGGAAGCTCTTGGTTTACTGTGTCACCCAAGCGACTGGGAGCCAGGTCCTGCTCTGGGACTGAGCCGTTGGAGCCGACCGATGACTGCACTGGGCTGACCGCAACAAGCTGACCACACACACTCCTCACTCCCCTGGCCCTGGTGGGCGGCAGACACCATGGTGCAGACGGATGTGCTCCTACCAGAGCTGGCCCCACAGACAGTGCCACCCTACGAGCTGCCCTGCAAAGAGTATGACGTGGCCAGAAACACGGGCGCCTACACGTCCTCCGGCCTGGCCACCGCTGGCTGGAGGTGTGGTTCCAGAACTGCTATGCTCGCTACCGCCAGGCCTTCGCCAACTGCAACCAGTCAGAGCGGGAGCTGCAGGGGCACGAGAGCCAGCAGCTGGCCGCAGAGACCCAGGCACTGGCACAGCCGACACAGCAAGACTCCACGTGCAGGGTGGGCGAGCGACTGCAGGACACGAACAGCTGGAAGTCGGAGCTGCAGCGTGAGGTGGAGGCACTGGCTGCGGAGACCGACCTGCTGCTGGCCCAGAAGCAACGGCTGGAGCGCGCCCTGGATGCCATGGAGGTGCCCTTCTCCATCACCACTGACAACATGCAGTGCAGCCAGCGCCACCAGCACACCAACCTTTTGCGTGACCATGTGGAGACAGAGCTGCTGAAGGTGCCAGCAGCCTTGGGTGGCCAGGACTTGTGGGCACAGAGAGGAGGAGCCCCCGGCAGTTCATGTGGACAAGCCACGTGGCTGCTGCAAGCACACGGGAGACCAGCCCTCTGTGCGTGAGACCCCTGAGTCCCGAAATCTGACCCCTTAGTGACAGGAGGCAGTTTTGCCCCAGAAGGCCCCTGACTTCCAAGCAGCTGTTTCTCCTCTCCTCCTCCAATACCTTTGAGTCCTGGCACAGTCATCCTGACCCTGGGCTCCCCAGAGACCCTCCCTGGTTGGGACAGTTGCTCCCGAGGTGGAAACCGAGGTCTGGGCCAGCACTGCGGGTGTGGACAGGTAGGGTGGGATAGGCTGGGAGCCACTGCTCCCATTCATCCTATACAGAGCCAGGGACACGAAGATCTGCACCCACAGGTCCCCTTCTCCATGTCACCTGTAACTTCCCAATCCAGCCCAGCTTGTCTATGGGGCAACCCCATAGGGTGAGGAAGTAACTCAGTCCTGGCCCTGATGCTGGCTCTGGAGAATTCCCTGAGCTCTCAGAGCCTGGGGCCTCCATGAGAACCACTACAGGCCTGTAGACATTTGTGAAAGATGTGGGGTGGAGGCAGCTGGTCTCCTGCCATACCCCCAAACTCAGGCAAGAACCCTTGAGTCCCTCCCTCCCCTCATGCCTTCCCTCCTCCCTCCCTTCCCCTTCTGCAGGCCTATCCCCCTGCACCCTCTCAGTGCCTCAAGAACTGCTGCAGCTCCCGCAAACCCTCTGCCTGCAACAAGGGTGCCTGCGAAGTGATGGAGACACTGACAGTGCAGGAAGAGGAAAACCCAGGGACAGAGGGGTGCAGGACTCGGGCTCTGGCACACAAGGAGGTAGCTGGTGGTCCAGGCAAAGACCCCAATCACAGGGAAAAAAGTCTTGTTCCTACACACAGAAAATTAAACTGGCCAGGCAGTAAGAAGAAACACAGGGTCTTCCTCCTGCTCTTGGTGTGAGGATGGTCTTTCCCAACACAGAGCCCTGAGGGGCAGCCTGGGCGGGCATCTGGGCCCCCAGAGTTTGGGTCCTCAGGAGCTGTCCAGAGGCCAGGGACAGGCCAACGTTCCTGGGTGCACTGAGTGAGCAGCAGTGATGACTCTTGAGGCCTGGGGCGTGGGAACTGCCACTGAGTGACCTTCCCAGCAGCCCATAGAAGGCCCTGGAGGAAAACACCCCACTTACAACGCACCAAGGAGAATGCCCAAAAGCCCAGGATAAACCCAGTGAGAGAGCAGAACTTGCACAGTCAGAGCTCAGGCCCGGCATTCAACTATTTCTGGTTGCTCAGGTGTTGACCAAGGCCTGCAGCAGCTGGGCCTCCTGGGATCCTCACCAAGGACCGGCTCTGGTGCTCAGGGCGTCTCCTCCCTCAGGAAGCTGAGCTCATCCGGAACATTCAGGAGCTGCTGAAGAGAGCCATCATGCAAGCAGTGAGCCAGATCTGGTGGGTCGAGGGCTGCCCAAGGGATGACTCCTGACCCCACCCACGGCTGGTCCTGGGGCAAGGCATTGAACGACAGGACCCTGAAGCTCAGAGCCGGCAGGGGCTGTCCCAGGTCACAGTGGGAGCACAGGGCTGGGTGGGGGAGGTTCCGGACCAGCCTGAGTTTGAGTGGCCAAAGCCCAGTGCCACAACTGCTCTGCAGCCTCCCAGCATGGGCGGCAGCTCTTGGTCACTGCTGAGCACGAGGACAGCCGGCCCAGAGCTCCCTCCTGAAGCGGGCATGAAGTCCTAGCCTGCAGCATGGAGGGTCCCCAGCGGGGCCCTCCCTGGCCACACACCAAGGCCCTGCCCCACCCCGCCCCAGACTGAACTGAGAGCACATGGAGATCTGCGAGATGGACTGGTCGGACAAGGTGGAGGCCTACAACCTCGACAAGACTTGCGGGCGCCACCACAGCCAGAGCACCGAGGTGCAGGCTCATCCGGCACTCCACCACCTTCCAAGAGAGGGGGGCCCCAGCTCTGCCCCGTGCTTGCCCTGGCTGTGGTCTCGCCTCCCTCTGCCTGGGGGCCCCAGCGGCACTGCTTCCCCCAGCCTGGCCCAGAGGCCCTCGCCCCCGAGGGCACTTGGGCAACTGTCTGCCCCTGGCATGAGAAAGCATGCAAGACCTCCTCAAGTGCCCAGCGCGTGCACAGCCTGGTTGCCCGTAGACAGGACAGGGTGGGGTGCGGTCAGCCCCAGGCACCGGCAGGATTGCATTTCCACCCAAGGCCAGCAGAGGGAGCACGAACACCGCCCACTTGAGCATAGCAAACTCCTGGGTGCGAGAAGCGGACGCGGGCGCTGGGTACTAGGGAAGGGGGGCTGCGGGGGACAGAGGTGCTGCAGAGGGGGCCTTGGGGGCAGCGGTGCTGGGAACGGGGTCGCGGGGGCAGGAGGGGACTAAGTGCCCGGGGTGGGTAGGGTGTGGGTGGACTCAGGGGAGTTGTGGGCGGGGGGCACTCGGAGGCAGGGAGCTTGGGGGACTGGGCTTTGTGAGTCTGCACGGGGTGCATTGGAGTCCATGCAGTTCCTCCAGGAGCATGGGGTGCAGACAGGGAATGGGGGCGCGGCAGGGCCCCCAGCCACTGGCATAGCCTCCCTGACCCTCTCCTGGCTGTCCCCAGCCCCGCAGCGCCTCCACCCCAGAGACCCGGACCAAGTTCACACAGGACAATCTGTGCCACGCCCAGCGCGAGCGCCTGGACTCGGCCAACCTGTGGGTGCTGGTGGACTGCATCCTTCGCGACACCTCCGAGGACCTGGGACTCCAGTGTGACGCCGTGAACCTGGCCTTCGGGCGCCGCTGTGAGGAACTGGAGGACGCGCGGCACAAGCTGCAGCACCACCTGCACAAGGTGGGGCACCCTGAACCCCGAAGACGGCTCCGGCGCCTGCCCACCACTCTGCCCCCTCTCATCACCTGGCCTGGGCCCTCAACACCTTTCTCCTCTGTCCCACTTATCCCGAGGGACCCCAGAAGCAAGTGTCACCTCTCCGTAAACCTATGTAAAACCAGGTGACACTGGGTATGATCGCAGTGTGTTGCAACCCCCATGACTGAGAAGGAGGAGCTGTGGGGAGGATGGAGGCAGGAGCTGGTCTGGGGAGCATTGACTGCCTGGGAGGTCCCCAAGAGTCCTGGCCTGGCAGGCAGGGCTCTGACTCTAGGGCCTCAGCATGGCCTTTACCACCTCTGAGTCCCCAGTCCTTGAGCAGGATTTGGGTCCTGGTGACCACCAAGGATGGGGGTTCTTGGACCAGAGCTAAGAGACAACAGGCTGCCTGACTCTCCAGAGCCCGCTGGGGGCCCCGTGCACATTGTTCCCCTCACCCACGCCTCCCCAGGGCCACTGGTCAGGACCACCCTCTGGACACAGCCCCAGGAGCTGGGTAGGACCAGACTGGTCTCTACATTCCATATGCCCGGGCATGGGGGCACAGGCCCAAGGGGCACTGTCCTGTCTGCAGATGCTGCGGGAAATCACAGATCAGGAACACAACGTGGTGGCACTGAAGGAGGCCATCAAGGACAAGGAGGAACCTCTGCACATAGCCCAGACCCGGCTGTAGCTGCTCTCACACCGGCCCAACATGCAGCTGTGCCGCGATGCAGCCCAGTTCAGGTACTGCCTGGGCCTCTGAGGCAGTCCCAGGTGCCCCCGTCCACCTCCTCGCTGCGACCCTCTCCAATAAACACTCCAATCTCCACACACACATCCCCCACAGGTGCTGAGAGGGGAGGGAGACTCTGCGGCCACACACAACATGCAAGCACGCCTTAAACACACAGATATAGACATGACACTGGGCAGGTCATGGGTCGGGGGCCTCCCCGTGCCAGGGACCTGTGCCCACGTGGTCTCACCCCACCCTGTGCTACCTCATCTTCCCGGGAGGAAGCTCCTTCAGACAAGGTGAGCTCCTGGAGGCCACGGGGCCAGAGAGGCCAGAGAGGGCCATTCCCTGCTGCCCTGAGGGTGCTGTCCCCACCTCTGGTGGAAAGTATGACCTACGCCTGGGCTACAGGCATAGATGGGCCGTCCTTTTGTTTCCCTTGTTAACGGATGCCTGGTGGCCCCTTCTGAGCCTAAGTACCTTTCTTCCTTCCCTGCCCCTCAGTTCCTTCAAGGAACTGGGTGCCTCCTTCCGTCAAATATCAGGAATGGAAAGAACTGAGCCTGGTCGGCTGAGGCCAGTCCTGTCCTGTCAGGGTCGAGATTGCACGCGGGTCACTCATTCCCACTCAGGTCCGCGCTCCCTGGGAGGACCCTCGTAATTTATGCTCTGCCCTAGAGCCGCTTTCCTGGTAGGATCCTTTCATGGCGTCTTCCCAGGACCTCCTGCCAGCTCCCATTGGGAGTTTTGGGTCCCCTCCACCCCAGTAGGTGCATACTTCTGCCCTCCCCAGCCCCAGCTCACACCCCCCAACACCCCCAAGCTGGTGAGTGAGGTGGAGGAGCTGTACAAGTCCATCACAGCGCTGCGGGAGAAGCTTCTACAAGCGGAGCAGTCCCTGCGCAACCTCAAGGACATCCACATGAGCCTGGAGAAGGACGTCACCGCCATGACCAACAGTGTCTTCATCGACCGCCAGAAGTGCATGGCCCATCGTACTTGCTACCCCACCATTCTGCAGCTGGCTGGCTACCAGTGAGCAGCGGCACGGTGCTTCCCCCCAATCCCCCAAATAAACAGTGCGTTAGCTTTCTGCACAGTGTGTGTGTGTGCCCGGTGGGACCTCCAGTTGCTGTCCATCTGAACTGGCCTTTGGGTCCCCTGTGAGGCTGGCTCTGCCTATGGACTCGTCATCCCAACAGTTGGAGATGAGGGGTCAGAGCTGAGGGGGAGGAATCCCTGTGCCTCAGAGGACAGGACATGCCCAGGTGGGGACTGGGCCTTCACAGCACAGCTCAAGTGTGGGTGCAGACCGTGTGTCCAGCTCAGAGCCAGGCCATCCAGTTCCCCCTGCCCACTTCCCCACCAGTGCTGGCTCCTCCATTCCCTCACCAGAGTCTTAGGGACTTGGGACATCTTTGGGGCCTCTGCATCTCCCCAACTCCTCCCCCTGCACCTCCAGGCCCCCAGCCTCAGCTCACATACCCCTGTGACAGTGCGCTTATTCTGCTAGAAGCTGGTCTGGCTGCTGGGTGCACCTGCTGTGGCGATCCTCCAGGCAGGCCCCACGCAGAAGCACCCACTTCAGCATCCCCTCTCCGTCCCCAATGACAGTGTGTACCTGAGCTCAGCCCAGCCCAGCTCTCAGTGCCCAGGACCCCTGAGGCTCAGATGGGCAGATCGGCAGGGGTACATGGAGTTCCCTCCGGGGTGTGGGCCCAGTGTGGGGAGAGGGGCCTGAGAACAGCTCAGGGTGGGCATCCACCTGGAGAGCATGTGGGTGGGGGTCCCATCTGCAAGATCCAGACCCACAGGGCTCTTGTCTCAGCCTGAAGGGGACCGGGAGGTAACAGCCCCTTCCCCCCAATCAACCACAAGGACACCCAGCTGGGCAACTCTGTGAGCTGGGTGGGGTCAGCCAGGTGGAAGTTGCTGCTAGGGGTTGCTGGGAGGAGAGGCATGGGCTGCCTTTCACGTGGGACTAACTCAGACCTCTCTCCCCGACCTGCTAGGACCCCTCCAGAGGCCACTGCTGAAGATGAAAAACACTACTGCCATTCACTGGGGGAGGTGATAATGTTGACTGCAGGCAGTTGGCTCAGGGAGGAGCCTTCTTGGGAATCCTACTCAGCCTGGATGGGGAGAAATCTGGGAGAGGCTGTGTGTGAGCAGGAAGTGCAGGGAAGACTTCCTGGAGGAGGGAGCCTGGCTTCCACTGCACAGGCCAAGGCACAGGGGCTGGGACCAGGGAAGGAGGTGTCTGGGCTAGGCCTCTCGCTTTATCTTGAGCTCTGGTTCACTGTGATAGGCTCATTGCTAACCAGGCCCAGCCCTCCCCAGCTCCAAACCCGACTGCCAGGCAGTCAGGATTCTTCTGCTCACCCAGCCACTCTCAGAGATGCAGACCCAGACCCTGGAGGGTGGGCCTGAAAGCTTCCAGGACCTTCTCTCCAGTGCAGATTCAGGGGGAACTGTCACTTCTCATCACCACGGAAGCCACACTACTTGTCACAAGCCACCAGCCACTACAGTGACACCCAGGCCCACTCTTATTCTTTGGGGTGCCATTTAAATTCACCCTGGATGCTGTTACCATGGGGCTTTGACAGCCAGGAGCAGAGGCAGTGGGACACAGCAGCCAAGCCTCACCTGGGGGCTGCAGACAGTTGGTGTCCTGTCCGTGTAGCTCCTCAAAGCTGCTCCAGGACACCAGGCAGGGGCTGAGGCAATGACCTGCCCAGGGAACGCCAAAGAACCATCTCCCTGCAATCACCCCCAGCACAGGGGAAACCTGCAGTGAGGCAGATGGTGGTGAACTCAAAGGCCCCTGAGCTGGGGGAGGTTGTTGGGTGGGGGCTTCACTCCCTGCCACCCTAGACACGATGGCCAGGGAGGGGTCAGGTGTGGGTGGGTGGTGGCTGCAGTGCCCTCCCTGCCTGCTGCAGGGGGATGCAGGTTGTCCAACACCATCCTGGGACTGGTCAGCCCTGGTGCCTCAGCCCAGTAGCAAGGAGTCCTCCAGGAGAGCCAGGAACCTCCATGGGAGGTGGGTGGAGGTGAGGCCCCTCCACGCTGTGCCCACCCCAGCCTCAGAAGGAGCTGCTGGCACTGTCCCCTCTTGAACAGCAGCACTTCTCCCAGACTCTAGGGAAGTAGCCACTAAGAGGCCCAAGAAACAATGGCTCCTTCCATGCAGGCCCCACACTCAGGCTCCCATTATCGCCCAGGCCCAGGTGGCGCTGCCCAGCCCTGTCAGGTCCCCATCAGGCTCAGGACCTCCTTGTCCCACCCTGGAGGGGGTGGCTGATGGAGAGCTGAGTGTGGGGGGTGCCAGGGGAGGGGGCCTGGGAGAAGTATTTCATCTCTGATGCCGGATGGTGGCACCAGGGTAGGAGGCACCGAGCTAGGTGTCATCCTGAGCACATGGCAGGTTTTAACTCCTTCAGACCTCATGACAGCCTATCACATGCATTTTACAGCAGGGAAAACTAAGGCCTGAGGGTCCCTGTGCCAACTGTGCTCCCACCCCAGGGACAGGTTGATGCAGGGGAGGCTAATGACAGCAGTGATGGAAGTCACTCTCAGCTAGAGAGAGGCCAACGCCCCTGGCCCACAAACTTCATGACTCAGTGCAGAGCCAGCACCTGGGGCTGCTGGGCCAGAACCCTAAGGGCTGTCTCCTCATGCTGAATTCCCTGCTGACCTCCAGATTGTCTAACCCCCACCCCTGAGGCCATCTGGACACTGGCAGCTGCTGCTAACCCACAGGCCCCTCTGTGGAGTCCCTGTTGGCCTGGCCTTGAACTCCTACCCATGGTGGAGATCAGGTGTGGCTTGCTCCAGGAAGCCTCTGGGCTCCTGGGGATTGGGAGAGTGGCCGGAGGTGACTCAGACCTCCAAAGTGGGCAGGAAGGTGGATGCCCACACTGGGCTGTTCTCAGGCTCCTCTCCCCACCCTGGGCTTCTAGCACAAGAATAAAGAAGGCTCCAGCAGCTCTTGCCTGGAAGAGACTGTGGTACCTCCTGTCCTTGGCAGTTCACAGAGGGAGGGGTTGCTGGGGGCTGCTGGCCCATGGCTGTTACTGACCGGGTCAGGGTGGGGATGGAGACGTCCAGGCCCTGCCATCTGAGGGGTGCAGGTGGGATCTGGCCCAGCTGCAGCATGGCCCTCTCCCAACCCCAGCCTGTCCTGTCCCTCAGTGAGCCCACACCCTGGAGTCAGAGCTGTGTTCTGTCCTCTGCGGAATCCAGTGGAGCCTGGACACAGCTGCCCGCTCCGTGTTGGGGTCGCCCTCGGCTGTCCCATGTCAGGGTTCCCTCATCTGCCCCCTTGTGCAGTGGCTCCTAGAGATCACTCTCACAGGCATTAGATGCATGGCTCAAGGTCGGCGCCAGAGCCCCTGGTGCAGTGCCCGCTGTCCAGCCCACACGGGCCACCCTGGGGGGCTGCTGTGGAGCCTGCAGTAACAGAAGCCTCACTCCTTCAGACCCCCACTCCCCTCCCACACAGGCTGGCCACTGGGCTGGGGCTCATGGGCTGCCTGCCTTGTGCTAAAAATGGAACCCCAGACTTTCTGGCTTTAATAATACAATCCTGACCCCCCAGGGCCCTCCCCATTTCCTGGGAGCACCCCAAACATCTTCCATGGGAAAAATAGGACACAGAAACCCAGGCATCCAGGAGCCCAAAGTCTCACACCCAGGGAGCGAAGGGCTTGCCAAGGCTCTTACCCCAGTGCCCAGCACCACTGCCAGCATCCCACAGTACAATGGGGGAGATGCTGTTGGGTGTCCATTGGGAGCCAGCCCCAGGAGCACAATGTACAGCAGCACTTTCCTGTCGCCATGGCTATGCTGCAGCCATGAGTGACCAGGGCTCTTTCTGTCCAGGAGACACCTGTCCTGCCCCATATGCTCGCACTCTGCTCTCCCTGCCCACCCTACTCTGTCCTGGCCTGGGGTCCCCGAGCCACAGTGGCTCAGCCACCAGCCCCACCAGCTGCCTGCCCAAATGGATGCTCCCCAGGCCACCCAGACCCAAGGGACTGGAGAGAGCTCTTCTCCTGTCCATTCAACCACCCCTCAGCCTCCCTCCACCCTGCCCTGCACTTGGGGAGTCTCTGTGACCAGTCCCCCACACAAGGAACTCACAGGAATGCCCCTTTCTGTTCGGGGGCAGGACTGCTGGCATCAGGGAGCATTGAGGGAAGCACATGGAGAGGGGGACTGGGGTTCCCCATGACTGTGCCCCAGCAGCCCCCCACACCTTCCCCCACAGGGGATGCTCCCAGACACTTCTGAGCTGCCATGGGTGCCCATTTCACAGGTAGGGAAACCAAGGCTCAGATCCAGGGAGCTGCAGTATGTGTGCATCCACCTGTCTTTCTCCACAAGCCCCAGGAGCTCAGGGGCAACAATGGGGAGCCCCTGCACTGGTTGCCCCTACCCTGCCACAGGCCCACAGTCTCCCCCTGGGGATGTGGCTGCCCACCTGCAAAGCTGTGTCCTCATCACCCAGGTCTGAGCCGTGCAGAGCTGGTTCCAATGGCTGCAGGCACCACAGTCGCAGAGCTGGAAGAAACAAGCATCCTCCCCAGGAGTCTGCAGAGGGAGCGCATTTCTGCCCACACCTTGATTTTGGACTTGTGGCCTCCAGAACTGTGAGAGAATAAATTCGTGATGTCATAAGCCATCACTACAGCAGCTCCCGGACACTAATATTGCTCAATCCGTCCAGGCTCCTCTCTCTGTTTGTTGCTGTTCTAGGTTTTTCTGAGACAGGGTCTGGCTCTGTCCCTCAGGCTGAAATGCAGTGGCACAATCATAGCTCACTGTAACCTCTATCCCCTGAACTCAAGCCATCCTCTTGCCTCAGCCTCCCCCACAGCTGGGACTACAGGCAGTTCTGCCATGGCTGGCCAACTTTTAAATTAGGTAACCCTTCCCAATAACTTTCACGATTAGTTAACATCTTCTACATTCCTATTTATTTTCCCCTTTTTAATACAAACATATGCCCATTAAATAAGCAAAATAGGGAAAAAAATTTAATCACCCAAAACCCTACCATCTACTTACCAGAGAGACAATAATGGCACAGGGATATAGTGCCAAATTACATTAATTTTGGTAATCCAAAGCAATAGAAAAATCTCCAGTTTTCAATTTATTCTTCTTAGATTTCTAATCAAGAAAACCTATTTTCTACACTAAAGCAAATATATACAAAAGGAAAAGACACACCTATGAAGCAAAGGGATGAACTGGAGTCCTAATGTTACAAGAGGCTGGTAGTCATTCATTTGTCATCACTGAGGTATTTTCAGAAAATAGCCATGGTTCCCAGAACTTTAACAAGCACAATAATCCACTCTTAGATACTTGAAAGTCAGATAAGAAGACATCTATCCCTTAACTAGTTGTTATACACTCTATGTAAATAAAACCATATAATTTTAATTTCCTCAATTAATTCTCACAGACAGTACCCAACCTCACATCACCATGATCTTTGACATGTCAATGTTTTATTGTAAATCGTGACAGTCTATCTACATAGAATACTCATGATTTACAATTTCAGATTGTCAACCCAGCCAGTAACCTATGTAGCACTGAATTCAAATACCAGAAAAAGGACCCAGATTCCCTCACCACCTAGCAGAGCTCAAGTGAGCTACACAGCCTGGTAGGGAATGGGGAGTAATTAAAAGGTTGTAAGCAGGTACTACTATAGTCAGATGAGTTTTTGACAGGTTATTCTAAAATCACTGAGAAAAGAAAACTGTTGTAGTATTCCAGATAAGATTATGTGGTCTGTAAAAGGACAGTGTCAAGGAAATAGAAAAGAACAATCAAGGAATTTCAAAGGGTAAACTGGATGTGATTATATAGTACCACATCAAATGAACATCAGGCTCAAAGAAGGCACGGGGGAGCAGGAGGCTGCTTTCCCCAGGTACTCTCTTTCCCAGGCTTGCCCAGCAGTCCTGGCAACTGACATATATATATATGGAAACCATCATTCTGAGCAAAATATCGCAAGGACAGAAAACCAAACACCACATGTTCTCGCTCATAGGTGGAAATTGAACAATGAGAACACTCGGACACAGGATAGGGAACATCACACACCGGGGCCTGTCGTGGGGTGGGGGGAGGGAGGAGGGATAGCATTAGGAGATATACCTAATGTAAATGATGAGATAGTGGGTGCGGCACACCAACATGGCACATGTATACATATGTAACAAACCTGCACATTGTGCACATGTACCCTAGAACTTAAAGTATAATAAAAATAAAAAATAAAAAAGTCTTCCTCAAGTTTATCATCAAAAAGTGCTACACATGATTTACAAGTATTTTCTTCCATCTTGTGAGTTGTCTTTTCACTTTCTTGACGGTGTCCTTTGAAGTGCAAAAATGTTTAATTTTGATGAAGTCCAATTCATCAATTTTTATTCTTGTTGCTGGTCTCATATTTAAGAAAACTTTGCCAAATTCAAGGTCATGACAATTTACTCCTATGTTTGCTTCTCAGGATTTTATAGTTTTAGTCCTTACATTTACGTGGATTAGCTCAAAATGGATCCATTTGATCCACTTTTTTTGCATCCATAGTTTTTGTATGTGGTGTTGGGTAAAGGTCCTATTCCAGGATTTGCATATGTTTACATATCTAGTTGTCCTTGTGCCAGTTCTCAAACTTCTTTCCCCACTGAATAATCTTGGCACCCTTGTCAAAAGCAGTGGTTATATATGTATGGGTTCATATCTGACTCTCAATTCTATCCCACTGGTCTATACATCTATCCTTCTGCCAGTATTATATTGTCCTGATTACCACTGACTTGTAGTAAGTTTTAAAGTCAGTAAGTATGAGTTCTCCTACTTTGTTCTCATTTTCAAAAGATTATTTTGGCTATTCCTAGTCCTTTGTAATTCCATATGAATTTCAGAGTCAGCTTGTCCATTTTACAGAGAACTCATCCGGGATTCTGACAGGGATGAAGTTAAATTTGTAGATGAGTTTAGGGAGTATTGCCTTCTTAACAATGTTAAGCCTTAGGTCCATGATCATGGGATACTTTTACATTTATTTAGATCTTCTTTCATTTCTTTCAAAAATGTTCTATAGTTTTCAGAGTACAAGTTTTACACTTCTTAAATATATCAGTATTTTATTCTTGTTGATGCTATGATAAATGAAGTTGCTTTCTTAATTTCATTTTCTGATTGCTCATTGTGAGTATGTAGTACTCAGTTAAAGTGTGTCAAATACTATTGATTTTTGTATATTGATCTTGTATCCTGCAACCCTGATGAACACAAGGGATTTGTGTCTGGGGTACATAAGGAACAATTACAATTCTGTAATAAAAAGACAAAACAACCCAATTAGAGATAGACAATTCAAGAATGGATAAACAAACTGCAATACATGCAAACAAATGGAATATTATTCTGCAATTTAAAAAATGAGCTATCAAGCCATGAAAAAGCACAGAAGAACCCTAAATGTATACTGCTGGGTGAAAGAAGCCAGTCTGAAAAGGATACATACTACATGATCTATTATATGACATTCTGGGAGAGGCAAAATTAGAGAGTAAAAAGATTAGTAATGACCGGGGGTTTGGGAGGAAGAGGAGGGGGAGGAATGACTCAGTGGAGCACAGGAGATTTTTAGGGCAATGAAACTGTTCTACATAATACTGTAATGGTGGGTACATGACATTATACATTTGTCAAATCCAAAAATCTATAAAACACAGAGTGAACCCTGAAGTAAACTATGAATTTCAGATATAAGTATCAGTTCATCAAATCTAATCGATTTAGCACAGTAGCGCAAGGTGTTAAGAGTTGGGAGAACTGGGCAGGGGCACTGTAAGGGAGCATATGTGGACTCTCTGCACTTTTCTCTCTATTTTTTCTAAAACTGCTAAAAAAAAGTCTATTGTTTTTAAAATAAAATGATCCCTAGCAGGAAAAAAAAATGACAAAAGATCTCAACAAATATTTCCCCAAAGAAGATATACACATGGCCAATAAGCATGAGAAAAGACACTACCTTCAATAGGAAAATACAAATCAAAACCACAAGGAGATACAATTTCACATACATTATAATAGCTACAATTAAAAAGTCACACAGTAAGTGTTTGTGAAGATGTGGAGAAACTGAAATTTTAATACACTGCTGGAGGGAATAAAAAATAATGCAGCCATTTCAAAAAGTAGTTTGGCAGTTCCTCAATTAGACAGTTATATGCATCTGAGCAATTCTGCTCCTAGATAAACACCGAAGACAAATGTCTACACAAAAACTTATACACCAATGTTTATAGCAGCATTATTCATAATAGCCAAAAGGGGTAAACAATGTCCTAAATATCCATCAACTGACAAGTGCATAAACAAAATCCAGTGTATCCATGTAACAGAGTATCATGTGGCCATAAAAAGTAAGTACTGATACATGTCACAGCATAGACAAACCTTGCAAGTATTATGCCAAGTGAAAGAATCCAGTAACAAAAGCCCATATGATAGATAATCCCATTTATATGAAACACACGCAATAGGGAATCCAGAGGCAGAAAGATTGGTGATTGCCAGTGCTACAACTGCGGGGGTGCAGATGATGTATGTGGAGAGACAGAATTGAAAGCTAAACGGCACAGGAGGCAGGGTGTTGTGGTCCATGCCTGTACTCCTAGCTACTAGGGAGGCTGAGATGGGAGGATTGCTTGAGCCCAGGAGTTCAAGGCTGCACTAAGCTATGATTACACCACTGTACTCCAGCCTGGGCTGGTCGACTGAGCAAGACCCCATCTCTTAAAATAAATAAATAAATAAATAGAAAGAAAATAAGCTAAAGGGCATAGGATTTTTTTTTGAGGTGGAAAAACAATTCTAAAATTGATTGGAGTGTTGGTTCCCAACATCTGTGAATATACTGAAAACCACTGAACTATATACTTCGAGTGGGTGAATTACATGGCATGTAAACTGCCAATAAAGCTGTTTTAGAAATCCTAATATTTGCTGTGCTATAACTTCAGCAAAGTACTGCAGGGCAATAATTGCAGAGCCAACCCTATCATTACAGTATGACACAGGAAAACTTAAAACTGCACTTACGATCAAGCTATATGCAGAGCATATTAGCACACCAAAAATAAATGACTACACTAAAGACCCATCCTTCAAGGATTACAGAATTTAAGTGCTGAAAAGGAGAGTAAAACTACTCTGTTTTTTTAAAAAAGGTAAGAACTCACAACTTAATTAGTCACTTGTAAAATTCTGGATTGCTAAGAGATTTTCAGATATAATTTAAAAGAAAACACACGACCAAGACAATAATGAAAATCTATACGTAAATTTACTATTACCTTTAGCTTCTGAACGCACAGCCAAAAATCCATCTTCTGTCACTGCTTTAAACAAAGGTCTGACTCCTTATGTATCTCTGTCCAGGGACACTTTCTTATTGGCAGAATCCAGTAAAACAAATGCAAACACACCAACCAACGTACAAATTGTTTGCTCAATTCCTCCTTTGTCATAAAGATGAAGGATTATCTCACCATCCACTTTGGTCTGGTATTCAAATTCAAACTGGTGCTGCACCTTAGTAAGCAATAGCAAAACCAAGACATTATAGACTCCTTGTGCATCCACTAATAATTTTTATCACAAAGTTGCTTCAGTATTTCTGGAGCTTTAAAATCATTTCATGCACTTTGGTGATTTAGGAGAATCATAGCATTATCAACCTAGGGTTTGCTTCAACTCATAATTCTGCAAATTCTGTTCAACATAAAGCTGAACCCATGAAAGTTTTAGTTGCAGTCTGATAAACAGAATATAACGGGAATGTACCAGAATAGTAACCTGTAGAGGAATGGAAATTCATATTTTATACATACTATGTATGTGATACATAAATATTTTATATATGCAGATTGAGTATCCCTTATCTGAAATGTTTGGAACCAGAAGTGTTTAGGGTTTCGGAATTTTTTTTTGGATTTTATAATATTTGCATCTACGTGAGATATCTTGGCGATGAGACCCAAGTCTAAATGTGAAATTCACTTATGTTTCATATATCTTATACACATAGCCTACAGGTAATTTTATATAATATTTCAAATAATTTTGTGAATGAAACAAAGTTTGTGTACATGGAACCATCAGAAAGCAAAGGTGTCACTATCTCAGCTTCCATGTGGAAAATCTGTGGCTGTCTGACATCACTGACCATCATTTCTGACTCTGAATTTATATGCTACTGATGAGCAATCATTTTCACACAATTATTCACACATAAGTAAAAATATGACATGCCATTAATACAGTAAAAAATAATAAGCAACACAGTAGCATCACCAGAATACCTGCATCAGCTGTTAAACAGCTGTATAAACAATGGCAAGCTTTCAGGCTCCACCTACAAGGCTGCGTTTTGATTAAAAGGTTACTGTACATTGTATTTTTTTTCTTTTTTTAGGTGAGAAGAAATATCAGGAGTTGAGCAACTAGGAGGTGAGTCCTCTGAGGCTGAGGAGGCATTCTGCCAGATGGTTTTTTATAATGTTTCTCCAGAGTCATCTGCCTCATTATCAAGGGCTTTTGTCTTGGAAGTCTCTCTTTAATTTTATAAACTGACATGACCTCTTGTTCTGTTATGAATGCAGGTAGCTCTAGTCCTTCAATATCTTCAATATCTCTATCACACATTTTCACCATGTCATCTATACCTTTACACTACAGTCCAATTTCTCCAACAGCTTGACTTTCTGTGTTCTAAGTGTTTCTACTTTTCCTTATCATTGCTGCTCGCAGGGATATCTACAGGCCTTATTGACATTTTCAGTATGCTAACACCACAGAGCAGAGAATAAGAAAAATACACAACGAGTCATGCACTTAGGTCCCATCTGTGGGGATCCTGCCATTGGCTTGTCCAGCTTGCACATGTGCCATTCTGTGACCCTTTGTGTGTGTGCTTGCATGGGGAAATCTGAGCATGTGTAGAAAAGTTATACTGCAGCTGAAGGGGGCTGAGAGGGTCTTTTTTCATTAGAGAACATCAAATAAACTGTGTGTTGTTCACCTGCACTTTGACTAGGACATCAAAATCCACATGTGGTGTCATGTCAGTGCTCAAAAAGTTTCAGATTTTGAAGCATTTCAAATTTCAGATTTTCAGATTAGGGATGCTCAACCTGTAAATTTAATTTAAGGTAATATGTTGCTTGGTTGCCGTGACACTAAAAAACGTGTCTTCTGCAACTGTCAACTTTTGGTTTAAGAAGACAGTATTGGCTAAGAAGTTCCTCCAGTTCAGCTTCAAAGACCTAGCTATAAAAATGTAAAGCAAAGGGACAAACATCATTTGGCGTCATTCCCTGAAAAATAAATGGCTCCATCACAATAACAGATACATGATCCAAAACAAAGCTGCTTGTCCTCAGGTGAGGACGACAACGCCCAGTGCTCCCACCACTGCAGTAGCATTAAAACTACTGCTCACTGAGAGATAAAATGATGGTGGCACTTTATTAGTCTGCATGCCCCAAAGGAACAGCAAAGGGACTGTCTGCCACTGCATGCAGAGCAAGAAAGTTTGATTAGGCTACTCACCAATTCTGACACTCTCCAGCATCACTGGCAAACTATGAGGATGAAAAGTCCTTGATGTATTTCTCTTTGTATGTCATACTCACATTTTTGGCTGACATTAGAGAAATAAGAGGTTTAAATCAGGTGGGAATCCTAGGTTAAGTTTAAAACATGTTTTGAAATCTCAAAAAGTAAACCTATTATGTATGTGCACGACCCATAAATACGCTTCACACTCCATCCAGCTCACTGCATAATTTGTGAACCTTTTATCTGTAAGCCCTCAATGAACTGTCCAAAAATGGGCTTTGCCTCCAGTGACTATAAAGTCACTACCTGGTCACCCCTCTCTGCTCTATCAGGGATGATCTGTAACTAGCAGGTGGGGTCTGGAAACAGTCTTCTGCTGACTGTCCTGGGCTGAACTGCCTGAAGGGTAAGTCACTTACCACTTACTTTATGGTCACTTACCATAAAGCATGGAAAACTGTCATTAGCTGAAAAAAATAAACCCAGCACCTAGGACAATAAATACATGCCATACACTCCCAAATAGATGACGAGTCTCCAATTTGTTTTCTGCCTCTTAGGAGCTTATAAAACTAAAGTTCACAATTAATGGGGAAGGGAGGAGACAGATGATCTTCATTGCCTTAGTTATAAACTTGCTTTGGTCTATGGTGATCCTGTGTTAAACTGTGAAATAGAATCTATCATCCTGGCTCTCTGAGGCCCTTGACTTCACCCTTTTAGTGCTTTTCTTACTTATTTTCAAACCTTCACCTCTCTCACATTGAAAACCCCAACTCTTAATACCCTCTCTAAAAAACTACCCCTTCCCACCAACCACCACCACCACCGACCTCACTCTATCATCTAAATCTGTTTCAAGATATAAAAATCTTGGTAATTTAGATCTTAACACAAATTGCCTACTACCTTTTCAAAAAGCAAGTTAAGCCTGATTCTAATTGTGGGATGAAAAGTTTTTTCCCTAGGAAGAAATTTTAAATATCATCAAGCATGTTGAGAGGTGCTAGCGAGGGCATGGAGCAAGGAATCAAATTCCATAGGTGATTGTTTTCTCTATCTTTGTATAAAAATGTCCTTGCCCCAATTAAAGCCTCCACCAAGTATAAAAAGAAAGCGTTTGGTGATATTAGCAAGCAACAGTTTCCCAAATCTACCTTGCCCACCTCTTTGGCCTAAACTCTGCAGGTAATTTATTCTAAAAAGAGAAGTGTCCTTTGGGTAACAGATGTATCACTTCCTACTCTCTTAAACCAAACTCCGATGCTGCATCTTAGATAAAAGCCCTCAAATCTGGCCTCCTGAAGTCATGCTGTCATTTAACTTGGCTGCAGACCCCTGATACTCCCCTGCAGGGAGAGAGTCTGCTCTTTGTCCCAGCCTTTACCCCATTCCTACTTTCTTTAACTCAGTCCCCCTCCACTCCCAGCACACCTCTGGCTGTATTTTATTATTAGTAGTAAGCTTTATTTTTATCAAAAAGGGGGTAGGGGGTATTTTTGACCTTATGTTGCAGAATACTTTATATAAGCCTAAAATATGCATTCTGTTCATTAGATTTCTAGCTGCCCCAACTACATAAGCTGAGATGCTTGGTAGAAGCAATGGAACAAACTTCTCTAGTTTTACAAATATAACTTTTGACTAATTTAGAACAGAAATTAATTAATTTCAAAATATTTAACTTATTTTAGCTTTTTAGAAAAAAAAACACTATCTGAGTAAAACAGAGCACTTCCTATTTCATTTAAGGAGAAAGCCAAGCTGATAATGCCATCATACTACCTAGCTTTCTCATGCATATGACACTGATTTGACTTAGAAAGAAAAAAGTTTTAATACTCTCTTCTACTTCCCACTAGCAGGAAATTCCATTCTTGCCTTTCCTTTTCACCATTTCATCTACAATCACCTAGAAAAATGATATCTGGTGCATATTAGGTCCTTAATAAAGGAATAAAGAAATGTGTGAAAGGAATTTCTTGAATAACTATTTTAAAACTTTTTGAACAAGAAGACTATTATTAAGAGTGTTCCCGTGAGCAGGCAACAAACAATGACAAAAGCTATTATTCAGAGATAAAAATGTCCAAAACATGGTTAGGATATAACTCTCTATCAGTGCCTGACAGGTATCTATCAAGAAGTCTCAGAAAAAATACCAAGAAACATCACAACCAAATGCATGAATCTTGAATGAAATCTGGCTCTAAACAAACAAATACCAGCTATAAAGATATTCTTGGTAGCACTTTGAGGGGCCAAGGTGAGCAGATTCCCTGAGCTCAGGAGTTCCAGACCACCCTGGGCCCAGTCTTTACTAAAATACAAAAAATTAACCAGGCATGGTGACAGGTGGGCCTGTCGTCCCAGCTACTCAGGAGGCTGAAGAAGGAGAATCGCTTGAACCCAGGAGGCAGAGGTTGCAGTGAGCCGAGATCGCAACACTGCACTCCAGCCTGGGTGACAAAGTTGAGACTCTGTCTCAAAAAACAAAAAAATTCTCCAGACACTTAGCGAAATTTAAGTATTAACTGGATATTAGGTGGCATTATGATTTTTTTTTTTCATTTTTGAGACAGAGTCTTGCTCTGTCTCCCAGGCTGGAGTACAGTGGCTGAAGCTTAGCACACTGCAAGCTCCACCTCCCAGGTTCACACCATTCTCCTGCCTCAGCCTCCCGAGTAGCTGGGACTACAGGTGCCCACCACCACGCCTGGCTGATTTTTTTTATTTTTGTATTTTTAGTGGAGATGGGGTTTCTCCGTGCTAGCCAGCATGGTTTCAACCTCCTGACCTCGTGATCCACCCACCTCAGCCTCCCAAGGTGCTGGGATTACAGGCGTGAGCCACCGCACCCAGCCAGGTGATATTATGGATTCTTAGGTTTAATAATGGTATTGATGTTATGTAGAAAAATGTCCTTATTCTTAGGAGATAAATGCTTATATATTTAGGAGTGTCACAAAATCTGCACCATACTCTCAAATGATTTGGCAAAAAACTGTGTGTGTGTGTGTATGTGTGTGTGTATGTGTGTGTGTGTAGAAAGAAAAATCAAGCAAATATGGCAAAACATTAATGATTATTCAATCTAGGTGCTCACTATTCTGTTCTTTTCTGTATGTTAGAATTTTTTTCAAAACAAAAAGCTGGGGAGAAGGAGAAAAAATTCTAAGAGTCAAAGAAACTGTGTAATCCCCATTTTTATCACTTTTTTGTGACCAAGTGATTTCACTCACCATTTTATTCATCAGTTCCCTATCTACATACTTAGAGCAAATGAGATAACATAGAATGCTTTGCAAAGTAAAAAGCATGATACAGAATATATAATCTCATCGTAACCAACAAGCTCTGAAGTTTAATCACATCCACACATCTGGCTTCTTTTCCCCTACCTTCTTATGGTTGTAGATTTCACCATTGTAACAGAGCCACATATATGGATATGTCTTCACTTAAATTGTCTGCATTCCAAACAGCGGGTCCACTACCACCAATGGGTGAAATCCAAAGCAGCAGCTGGTGTATCCATTAACATTCTCAAAACAGGATGCATCTGGACCCCTGTGTGCAATCTTCATAGCACACAGACACTAAACAAAAAGGCAGTCATTGCTGTCAAACAGGACCCAAATGCCACACACAGTGCAATGAAGCTATAAGCTCCCTATGGAGAGAAAAGTAGACAAATCAAAAATATTCAATATCCAATCCAAGTCCGTGTTAAATCTTGATTCCAGAAACGTGCATAAACCACTTCAAAGACTAAAATTTAAACCATCTTTTCTATAGCGATTTCCCATTTGGTTGGCAGGCATACAGGAGTAAAGAATGATTTAATTTACTTACAAATATTCAGAAAAGATAGTGACCTCTACATTCAACCAGCTACAGCAGCTTAGCACCCAGCCAAAGGCTGCATCTCTCCCACCTTAAGATTTAGTGGTTGGCTAGAGTTAGCAGCATCCAGGCCACATCTATCTCTGCATTCTAAGTTTGCTTCCAAGATAAAGATACAAATGCAGGCTGGCTCCAACCTAGCCAGAGATCCCAGCCCCACTCTCTGCATCCCAAAATCCCTCAAAGACTCAAGAGACTTTCCAGATTTCTACAGTCTCCTCACAGGTTCCCTTGACAGTTAAATGCCCTCTCTTTACCTCAACTAGCTGCAGGTAGAATATAATGGGCACAAGAGAAAATCACTGTAAGTGTAATATGAAGATACACAGCCCTTTTAAGCATTTCATTATATTACATCTAGCTTACTTCTAAGGGATTTATTCAGATGTGACTGAAGAAAGTCTAAAGGGAAAAAAAGCAATTTAATTTGATAAATTAAATTATCAATTATAGCCAAATTATTTGGCTATAACAAATTAAACATTTTAAGCTGACAGAAGATGCAAACATTTTAAGTTGACAGAAGATATAAAATGTTCACTATCAAAATGTCACAACTGATAAAAATGTTCTCAAATATTTCTGTCTCAAACTTGCATTGTTCATTAAGGAAGCAAAATAGGTGGGACATACACAGCAACAACATACCTCAAAAAACAACTTGGCTCATTCCTATAAGCCAGGCAGCAAATACATCATCCTTACATATGTTAATTACCTTCCAATTTCAAATTCTCAACTGTGAAATAAAGGGCCATTTTATTTGTCTGCTGCCAGTACAATATGACTGTTTTTATTAAAACATCTCTAACTTGAGAAATATTTGGTGTTTTCTAAAAAACTGCAAATTGCAGCAAATGGCCAGATAATTTGGAATAAACACCCTACAGAAAAAATATATATTCAAGTTGCATAAGTCACTTTGAGCAATCCTTTGTGGATATTTCATTTATATCTAAATGAACCACAGGTTTAGCTGGCTTTTCTGGAAAACCAGAAGCAAATAATGTATGATTATAATGAAAACCATCTCAAGCAATTTGGAAATGAAGTACCACATGTCCTATGCTGTCCCTTCCATAAACTTGACAAAACAGCCTATAACAAATTGTTTACTTTGAGATTTAGTAGGAAAATTCCATGAGATTTAAATGAGATGACTACTAATAAGCCATCTACATTTGACTCTATTCCAATTAAAAATGGGTTAGGAAAGTGCTTTGAATATCAAGTGTGTTCATCAGGGAATCATTTACCTAAGTCTTCCTAACACTGTTTAGTGAATATTAAGCCTGATGTAGTAAATACACGCTAACCACTAAATTGAAGGGGAAAGAGGGAGAACAAAGAGGCATGTAAAGTACACTTACTTCTTCTAGTAGGAAAAAGCCAATTAAAACTATCACCTATTAGTTTTATTGGAATCAGTCTTACAGGAGGTCAAACTTCCTACTGTCGCTACCTATTCTCAATATTTTTCTTATTTCTTCCTAAACTTCTAGAGCTGTGCTGTCCAATAAATATGTGAGCCACGTATGTAATTTTAAATGTACTAGTAAGCCCCATTAAAAGAAAAGGTGAAATTAATTTTAAATATACTTAACTCAGTATGTCCCAAATAGTAATCATAGTAATAATTTTAACATGTAATAAATATAAAAAAAATCAAGCAGATATTCTACACTGTTCTTCCCACTCCAACGACAAAATCCAGTGTATTTAACACAACACATCTCAATTAGGACTAGCCAGGATTACAAGTGCTCAACAGTTACAGGTGACTAGCACCTACTGAATTGGACACTGCAGTTTCAGTGCATTGAATTTCTATCCCACTTAGCGCTAATTAAAACTTCACCCTCTCACCTGACAATGATGCTAAGATCTCAGTAAGTAACCAACTACAGGCAGTTTCAAGCCCTACTTTACCTCTAATTACTCTTACAGCAATGCAATGAATCATGATTTAAAAAAAAAAAAAAAACTGCTGTTAAATTATTAGTCAAGTGCCCAGGGCAATGGACAGTAAAGAAATAATGTAGGCCATGGGCCGAGATGACAAAACGGTCCTTTTATTTAAAGCTATAATAATCTGAAGCCAGCCCTGTAAAATAGACATCCATTGAAAAAGGCATGCTAGTTCTTTTGCTTTTTTGTGTACTTGGCCTCCTGTGTCCCTAAACAGATCTCTTCTCAGCAGAGTTTGCTCAGCAAGTCACTTGATGAGTCTTGCAGTCTACAGAGGGGGTAGGGAATGGCAGGAGTTGGCATAGGAGTGAGAGGGGAGGAGGCAAGGTGAGGGGGGCCAGGTGAGGAGGGTGGCACTTGAAGGGGAGTTCAAGACTAGCCTGGGCAACATGGTGAGACCACTGCCCCTCACCACCGCCATCTCTGTTCTCACTCTGGTCTCACACACATGCACAAATTAAATTTAATTTAAAAATTAAAAAATTGTTTTAAAATAAGTGAAGTATTTACATGGATTATGTATACATTCATTTTGTAGAACTATAGATCCCATGTAACTGGGAACTCTTTACTCTTCTAACACAACATTTATTTAGCCACAAATAAAAGAAGACCAGTGATGTAGCCTGTACACAAAAAAGTAAGAAAACACTGGTTAGGCTGGGGCAGGGGTAGGGGGAAGAGATCTACAAAATTAAAATTTTATTGGGAAGCATCACTAATTAGAATCAGAACAATTACTGCTTTAAAGTAGTTAAGAACAGAGCACAAGGAACCCAGAGAAGAAGCAGATATGATTCAGAGCAGAGCTCACAGAGCAGATGGTATCTGAGCTGAGACTGATAGAATAACATTAATAAGGACATTCACAGCCATTTATTATCACTTAACTGCAATGTATTTTGTATAAGTTATTTCTACTCTTCATATCAACCATGGAAAATAATACTTATTCTTTTCTTTTGAAGTTAAGGAAGTGGTAAGTGGTCTAAGAAGATAAATTAACATACTAACACCAAATAGCTCAAGTTCAGTGACTCAAGAGTGCCCGCGTCACTCCAAGAGGTTGCTCAGCAGGCAGACGAGGTAGAGAGCCCTTCCAAGAAGTGACAGTGAGATGTGAAAGGTCTCAGTGTGTCTCTGAGAACAACAGAAACCAGTAAGTAGACCAAGTGGGAAAAGCCATGAAAGAGGCAGGGATTTCCTCTTAAGATAGCAAGAATAAACAGAGCAGGGCTGAGGGAAGCCATGGAAAATGGGCAGAATACCATGCATTTAGTGAGAAAAAAACAACTTTTACTTTAGAAAGGGGGAAAGAATGGTGGTGGTCTAGGTAAGCCTAGAAGCAGAGGAAAGGGCAGTGGAGGAAAAATATACAAAATGTATTAGTCAGGTTTCTCCAGAGGGACAGAACCAACAAGATACACGTATATGTATAAGGGAGTTTACCAGAGAGAATTGGTTCACACGGTTAGAAGGCAGTCCCACAACAGGCTGTCTGCCAGGTAGGGAAAGAGAGAAGCTAGTAGTGGCTCAGTCCAAGTCCAAAAGCCTCAAAACCAGGAAAGCCCGCAGTGCAGTCTTCAGTCTGAGGCCGGGGGCCTGAGAGCCTCGGGGAAGCCACTGGTGCAAGTCCCAGAGTCCAAACGCATAAGAACCTGGAGTCTCATGTCCAAGGGCAGGAAGAAGGGAAGCAAGTTTCCTGCACGGGAAGAAGAAAAAAAGAGAGCCAGAAGCTTCAGCTAGCAAGGTTATCCCACCTTCCTCCGCCTGCTTTGTTCTATACAGTGCAGCGTGTGTACACCACTTCTGTGATATTGTTTCTAATATCCATGGGAAGAAAGGGTGATGTTACTCCCAATAGCGCATGGGGGTGTACATCCCCTGTGATATTATTCCTAGTATGCAGGGGCAGGGAAAGGATGACATTACTCCCAATATCGCAGAGGGTGTTCTCCCCGCCTTGTGATATTGTTCCTAATATTTAGGGGATAGTGGGTGATATTACTCCCAATATCACAGGGGGTGTGCAGCCCCCGTGGTATTCTTTCTAATATCCGGTGGGGGGAGAGGTTGATATTACTGTCAATGACACAGGGGGTGTACATCCTCCCATGGTATTGTTCCTAATATCTGGGGGGGAGAGGATATTACTGTCAATATCACAGGGGTTGTAGACCCCTTCAGTGATATTGTTACTAATATCTGGGGGAGAGAGGATGATATTACTGTCAATATCACAGGGGGTGTACACCCCCCCGTGGTATTGTTCCTTATATCCCCAGGGGGGGAGAGGAAATTGTCAGTATCACAGTGGGTGTACACCTCTTCTGTGATATTGTTCCTAATATCCAGGGGGGTAGAGGATATTACTGTCAATATCGCAGGGAGTGTACAACCCTTCTGTGATATTGCTCCTAATATCCAGGTAGGGAGAGGATCATATCACTTTCAATATCACCAAGTGTGTACATCCCTCTTGTGATATTTTTCCTATATTTAGGGGATAGTGGATTATATTACTGTCAATATCACAGGGGCTGTGCACCCCCCCATGGTATTGTTCCTAATGTCCAGCAAGGGATAAAACACTACTACTCCCAGTATGGCAGGGGGTGTACAAGTCCTATGCGATGTTGTTCCTGTATCCATGGGGGAAAATGATATTGGGAACAATATTACAAACAATATCACAGGCGGGTGTACGTGTCCTGCGATATGAGGAGTAATATAACCCTCTCCCCATCTGGATATTACAAACTGTATCACAGAGGGGTGTAAACCCCCTGGGATGTGGAAAGTAGTATCATCCTCTCCCCTACTGGATATTACAAACAATATCACAGATGGTGTACACATGAGGTGTTTACGATATTGGGAGTAATATCATATCTCCCAGTGGATATTATGAACAATATCACAGAGGGGTGTATACACACTCTGCCTTATAGGGAGTAATATACTCCTCTCCCACCCTGGATATTACGTCACAGGGAGGTGTACATCCCCTGTGATACAGGGAGTAATATCATCCTTTTCCAGCCTGGATATTACAAACAATATGGCAGGGGGCAGTACACCCTGGCGATATGGGTAGTAACATCATCTCCTCCCCGCGTGGATATTATGAACAATATTCTAGGGGGTTGTACACACCCTGCAATATGGGGAGTAACATCGTCCTCTCCCCCACTAGATATTATAAACAATATCGCAAGGGGGGTGTACACTTCCTGCAATAAAAGGAGAAATATCATTCTCTCCCCCTAGAGATATTATGAACAATATCGCAGGGATTTGTTCTCCCATGCTATATGGGGAGTAATATCTTCATCTTCCCCCTGGATATTACGAAAAATAACGCAGGGGAATGTAAATCCCCTGCGATATGGGGAGTAAAATCATTCTCTCTGGCTAGGCGCGGTGGCTCACACCTGTAATCCCAGCACTTTGGGAAGCCGAGGTGGGTGGATCACGAGGTCAGGAGATCGAGATCATCCTGGCTAACATGGTGAAACCCCGTCTCTACTAAAAATACAAAAAATTAACCGGGCGCGGTGGTGGGCGCCTGTAGTCCCAGCTACTAGGGAGGCTGAGACAGGAGAATGGTGTGAACCTGGGAGGCGGAGCTTGCAGTGAGCCAAGATCAGGCCACTGCACTCCAGCCTGGGCGACAGAGCGAGGGTCTGTCTCAAAAAAAATAAAATAAAATCATTCTCTCCCTCCCTGGATATTATGGTGGGAGCGCGAGCGGGCTCGGGGGTTGCCAGGCAGCTGCTGCCTGCACACAGAGGGCGACTGCAACTTGGGCGCCCAGGCGGCGGAGCATGGTCTGGGTGGCCTCTGGAATGTGTGAGCGCCAGACCTGAGGATCACCCTGGTGGAGCCACCTACCCCGGTCTTCCTCTGCTGGAGCCTGGAGCAGCTGGAATGGCCACTATTCAGTCACAGGGGATAGAGTTAAGTTTTCTTATCCCACACATGCACACAAAAAGGTAACTATTCTGTGAGGTAATAAACATGTTAATTGACTTCATTCATGCCGCTCTGCACCCACAAGTAAGGGTTTCATAACAATGACACAGAAAATAAATGTTGCTAAGGAGGTGGAGAAGTTGGAGCCCTCATGAACTGGCTGCTAGGAATAGAAAATGATGCCCTTGCTGCAGAAAACAATTTGGTTGTTCCTCACAGAATGAGCATTGGGTGAAAAATGAAATCAAGATGGAAATGTAAAAAATTTCTTCGAAATGGATGACACAACCTATCAAGACCTCTGGGATACAGCATAGGCACTGCTAAGAGCAAACTTTGTAGTCCTAAAAACCTACGTCAAAAAGTCTGAAAGAGCACAAATAGACAATCTAAGTTCACATCTCAGGGAACTAGAGAAGCAGGAACAAGCCAAACCCAATCCCAGCAAACACAGGAAATAACCAAGATCAGAGCAGAACTAAATGAAATTGACACAACAACAAAAAATACAAAACATAAATAAAACAAAAAGTTGGTTATTTGAAAAGATAAATAAAATTGATAGACCATTAGCAAGATTAACCAAGAAAAGAAGAGAGAAAATCCAAATAACCTCACTAAGAAATGAAACAGGGGATATTACAACTGACACCACTGAAATAATAAAGATTATTCAAGGGTACTATGAACACCTTTTGGCACATAAACTACAAAACCTAGAAGAGTTGGATAAATTCCTGGAAAAATACAACTCTCCTAGCTTAAATCAGGAAGAATTAGATACCCCAAGCAGACCAATAAAGCAAGCAGCAAGACTGAAATGGTAATTTTAAAATTACCAGCAAAAAAAGCCGAGGACCAGACAGATTCACAGCAGAATTCTACCAGACATTCAAAGAATGTCTTCTTTCATTCAAAGAAGAAATGATACCAAACTTTTCATACTATTCCACAAGACAGAGAAAGAAGAAACCCTCCCTTATTCATTCTATGAAGCCAGCATCACCCTAATACCAAAACCATGAAAGGACATAACCAAAAAAGAAAACTACAGACCAATATCCTTGATGAACGCAGATGCCAAAATCCTTAACAACATACTATCTAACTGAATCCAACAACATATCAAAAAATAATCCACCATGATCAAGTGGGTTTCATACCAATGATATACGAGTGGTTTCACATATGCAAGTCAATAAATGTGATACACCAAATAAACAGAATTAAAAAAATCTAATATGATTATATCAACAGGTGCAGAAAAAACATTTGACAAAATCTAGCATTGCTTTATGATTAAAGCTCTCAGCAAAATAGGCATACAAGGGACATACCTTAATGTAATAAAAGCCATCTATGACAAACCCACAGCCAACATAATACTGAATGGGGAAACAGTGAAAGCATTCCCTTTGAGAACTGGAACAAGACGAGGAGCCTACTCTCACCACTCCTCTTCAACATAGTACTGGAAGTCGTAGCCAGAGCAATCAGACAAAAGAAGGAAATAGAGGAAATCCAAATCGGTAAAGAGGAAGTCAAACTGTCACTTGTTGCTGATGATATGATCTTTTGCGTAGAAAACCCTATGGACTCCTCTAGAAAGCTCCTAGAACTGATAAAAGAATTCAGCAAAGTTTCCAGATACAAGATTAATGGACACAAATCAGTAGCTCTTCTATACATCAACAGCTACCAAGCAGAGAATCACATCAAGAACTCAACCCCTTTTACAATAGCTGCAAAAAACAACAACAACAACAAAAAACTTAGGAATATACCTAGCAAAGGAATCAAAAGACCTCTACAATGAAAATTACAAAACACTACTGAAAGAAATCATAGATGGAGCCAAGAACGGTGGCACATGCGTATAATCCGAGCTACACGGGAAGCTGAGGCAGGAGAATCGCTTGAACCCGGGAGGCAGAAGTTGTAGTGAGCCGAGATCACACCATCGCACTCCCACTTCAGCGACAAGAGCGAAACTCCCTCTGGAAAAAAAAAAAAAAAAAAGAAAGAAAAGAAGTCATAGATGACAAAAACAAATGGAAACGCATCCCCATGCTCATGGATGGGTAGAACCAATATTGTGAAAATTACCATTCTGTTAAAGGCAATCTACAAATTCAATGCAATCCCCATCTGAATGCCACCATCATTCTTCACAGAATTACAAAAACAATTCTAAAATTAATATGGAACCAAAAGAGAGCCATGTAGCCAAACCAAGCCTTAGCAAAAAGAACTTGGAGGTATCACACTACTTGATTTCAAACTGTACAATAAGGCCATAGTTACCAAAACACCAATGTACTGGTTTAAAAATAGGAACATAGACCAATGGAACAGAAGAGACAATCCAGAAATTAAACCAAATACTTACAGCCAACTGATCTTCGAGAAAGTAAACAAAAACATAAAGTGGGGAAAGGACCCCCTTTACAATACATGATGTTGGGATAATTGGTGAGCCACATGTAGGGGAATAAAACTGGATTCTCATCTCTCATCTTATACAAAAATCTACTCAAGATGGATTAAGAACTTAAATCTAATTCCTGAACTATAAAAATTCTAGAAGATAACACTGGATAAACCCTTCTAGACATTGACATACGCAAGGATTTCATGACCAAGAACCCAAATGCAAATACAATAAAAACAAAGATAAATAGCTGGGACTTAATTAAACAGCTTTTGCATGGCAAAGGGAACAGTCAGCAGAGTAAATAGACAACTCACAGAGTGGGACCCCTGAACCTGACCCTGACCCCTGACCCTGACCCCTAACCCCTGACCCCTAACCCCTGACCCTAACCCTAACCCCTAACCCTAACCCTTAACCCTTAACTGTAACCCCTAAGCCTAACCCCTAACAACAACCCTCACCCTCACACTAATCCAACCCTAACCCCTTATCCCTAACCCCTAACCTCTCTTAACCCTTAACTCTAAACGTTGACTCTTAACTCCTAACTCTGACCCCAACACCTATCTCCAACCCCTAACCCTAAACTTAACCCCTAACCCCTAACCCTAACACCAACCTTAACCCTAGGTTCGTTACTACGTTTGTATTGACTATGTCAATGTTAATTATTATGATCTGTCTTAGGACTGCATGGCAGCAAGGGGATTGCGGATCTTATATTAATATTTTTGTATTGAGGCAGTGCATTAGCATTACAGGTGCTTGTTACATGAGCAATGGGCGTGTCATATTTTGGGTGTCATGTCCGCATTAGGAATGTTGCATTTGTCTTCTGAGGCTGCGGTGTGGATCTCGCACTGCGGCGCCTCGCCTTGGCTGGGGAGAACCTCGGTGGGTAGGATTCAGAGGGGCTTTTGGTTTCCCTTTTCCACACTGAACCCTTCTTACTGGTCGCTGACCCTGATTACTCAGGGCTGCAAACAGGAAGGATTTTATTCAGCGTCTATGCGGCCCCGAGTTGTCCCAAAGCGAGGCAGTGCCCCCAAGGTCTGTGCTGAGGAGAACGCTACTCTGCCTTCGCGGTGTCCCCCGGGTCTGTGCTGAGCAGAACGCAGCTCCGCCCTCATGGAGACCCCGGCCTGCCCAGGTCTGTGTTGAGGAGAACACTGCTCCGCCTTTGCTGTATCTCCGAAGTGTGTGCAGAGGAGAACTCAGCTCCGCCCCGGCGATGCTCTCCGTGTCGGTGCTGGGAAGAACGCAGCTCCGCCCTCGCAAAGTTGCACAGCGCCGGCGCAGGCGCAGGGGGGTGGGGGCCCCACAGCGCCGGCGCAGGCGCGGGGGGCGGGGGGCCACAGCGCCGGCGCAGGCGCCGGGGGGGGGGGGAGCCCACAGCGCCGGCGCAGGCGCAGGGAGGCCCACAGCGCCGGAGCAGGTGCAGAAAGTCAGAAGGTCCATGAGGGGAAGGTGAGACACCTGGGGCAAAGAAAAAAAAAATGCGCCGCGAAGCGGTGTCTGGGTCATCCACAGACGAAAGTTTTTTCCCATCAGCCCTTGCGCTGCGCCCCAGGGACCCTGGCATCCCTGGTTCACGCCCAGGGTGCGCCTCGGGCGACTAGGGGTACCCCAACTCGGACAGAAGCCCTATGAGTGGAAGTTGAAGTTTGTGGGAGGAGAGGTGAGGCACCAGGGGCAGAAAAAAAAAAAAAAGAGGACCGCGCCTCAGAGAAGTGGGGCCTGGGTCCACCACGGATGAAAGTGCCTTCCCATCAGGCCCTATGCTGGGCGTGGTGGACCCTGGCGACCCTGGTTCGAGCCCAGGTTGCGCCTCGGGACCGCTTGGGGTACCACAAAGCGAACAAAAGGTCCATGAGGGGAAGGTGAGGCACCTGAGGCAGAGAAAAAAAAACGTGCCACCAAGAAGCAGTGCCTGGGTCCCCCACGGATGAAAGTGCCATCCCATCAGCCCCTTCGCTGGGCCCTGGGGACCCTGGCATCCCTGGTTTGACCCCAGGGTGCACCTCGGGCCAGTAGGGGTACTGCAAGGTGGGCAGAAAGCCCCTAAGGGGATGGTGAGGCACCTGGGGCAGAGAAAAAAAAAAAAACTTCGCCGCGGAGAAGCACGGCCTGGGTGCCCCACGAACGAAAGTGTCTTCCCATCAGTCCCTGCACTGGGACCGGGGACCCTGGTGTCCCTTGTTCGAGCTCAGGGTGTGCCTCAGCCGCTAAGTGAACCCCAAGGGGGGCTTTGGGCGCACAAAGCCCATGAGGGGAAGGTGAGTTTTGAGGGGAGAGGTGAGGCACCTGTCACAGAAAAAGAAAGAAAAAACCCGCGCCGTGGAGAGGTGGGGCCTGGGTCCCCCACGGATGAAAGTGCCTTCCCATCAGCCCCTGTGCTGGGTACCGGGGAACCTGGGGTTCCTGGTTTGAGCTCAGGGAGAGCCTTGGGCCACTAGGGGTACCCCAACGCGGTGGAAAGCCCATGAGAGGAAGGTGAGCTGTGAGGGAGGAGAGGTGAGGCACTAGTGGCAGAAAAGAAAAAGAAACCACGCCACGAAGAAGCGGGGCCTGGGTCTCCCATGGAAAAAAGTGCCTTCCCATCAGTCCCTGCGCTGGGCCCCGTGGACCCAGGCGACCCTGGTTCTAGGCCTGGGTGCACCTCGGGCCCGCTAGGTGTACCCCAAAGCAGGCAGAAGGCCCATGAGGGGAAGGTGAGGTTTGAGGGAGGAGAGGTGACGCACCTGCGGCAGAAAAATAAAAACGTGCCGAGGAGAAGCGGGGCCTGGGTCTCCCACAGACGAAAGTGCCTTCTCATCAGCCCCTGCGCTGGGCCTCCTGGACCCTGGCGACCCTAGTTCAAGGACCAGAAGAGACTCCGGCACGCTAGAGTACCCTAAGGAAGCCAGAAAGCCCATGAGGGGAAGGTGAGATTTGAGGGAGGAGAGGTGAGTCACCTGTGGCAGAAAAAAAAAAAATTATATATATATATATATCAGCGCCTCGGAGAAGCCGGGCCTGGGTCCCCACTGATGAAAGTGCCTTCCCATCAGCTCCTGCGCTAGCCTTGAGAACCTGGCGACCCTGGTTCGAGACCCGGGAGCGCCTTGGGCCCGCTCGTGTTACCCCAAAGCAGGCAGAAGGCCAATGAGGGGAAGGTGAGGCACCTGGGGTGGAGAAAAAAAACCGCAGCTTTGAGAAGCGGGGCCTGGGTACCCACGGATGAAGGTACCTTCCCATCAGCCCCTGTGCTGGGCCCCGGCAACCCTGGCATCCATGGTTCGAGTCCAGGGAGCGCCTTGGGCTGCTAGGGGTACCCCAAGTCGGGCAGAAAGCCCATGATGGGAAGTTGACGTTTGAGGGAGGAGAGGTGAGGAACCTGTGGCAGGAAAAAAAAAAAAAAAAAAAAAACAAGCCGCGCCTAGGAGAAGCTGGGCCTGGGTCCCCGACGGATGAAAATGCCTTCCCATCAGTCCCTGCGCTGGGCCCTGTGGACGCTGGAGACCCTGTTCGAGCCCCGGGTGCGCCTCGGGCCTGCTAGGGGTACCCCAAGGTGGGCAGAAATCCCTGAGGGGCAGTTGAGGTTTGAGGAAGGAGAGGTGAGGCACCTGTGGCAGGAAAAAAAAAAAAAACTGCACCACGGAGAAGCGGAGCCTGGGTCCCCAACGGACGAAAGTGTCTTCCCATCAGCTCTTGCGCTGGGCCCAGGGGACCCTGGCGTACCTGGTTCGAGACCAGGGTGTGCTTCAGGCCGCTAGGTGTACCCAAAAGCGGGCAGAAGGCCCATGAGGGGAAGGTGATGCACGTGGGGCAGAGAAAAAAAAAAAACAACCGCGCCGCGGATAAGCGGGGCCTGGGTCCCCCACAGAAGAAGCTGTCTTCCCATCAGCGCTTGCAATGCGCCCTGGGGACCCTGGTATCCCTGGCTGGAACCCAGCGTGCACCTCGGCCTGCTAGGGGTACCCCAAGACAGAAGGCCCATGAGGGAAAGGTGAGACACCTGGGGCAGAGAAAAAAATAAAAAACTGCGCCGCCCAGAAGTGGGGCCTGGGTCCCCCACGGACGAATGTCCCTACCCATCAGCCCTGCACTGGGCCCCGGAGACCCTAGCGTCTCTGGCTCGAAACCAGGGTGCGCCTCGGGCCCGCTAGGGGTACCTCAAGGCGGGCAGAAAGCCCATGACGGGAAAGTGAGGCAACTGGGGAAAAGAAAAAAAAAACGCCGCAGAGAAGCCGAGCCTGGGTCCCCGAGGAAGAACGTGTCTTCCCATCAGCCACTGCGCTTGGCCCCGTGGAACCTGGCTTCCATTGTTTGAGCCCAGGGTGCGCCTTGGGCCGCTAGGGGTACCCCAAAGCGTGCAGAAGGCACATGAGGGGAAGGTGAGGCACCTGGGGCAGAGAAAAAAAAAAAACCTCGCCGCGGAGAAGCGGGGACTGCGTCCCCCCCACGGACGAAAGTGTCTTCCCATCAGCCCTTGCGCTGGGCCCCAGGGACCCTGGAGTCCACAGTGCACCTCGGGCTGCTAGGTGTACCCCAATGCAGACAGAAGGCCCATGAGGGGAAGGTGAGGTTTGAGGGAGGAGAGGTGAGGCACCTGTGGCAGGAAGGAAAAAAAAAAACGCGCCACGGAGAAGCAGGGCATGGGTCCCCCACAGACGAAAGTGCCTTCCCATCAGGCCCTGTGCTGAGCCCCGTGGACCCTGGCGACCTTGACTCAAACCCAGGGTGCGCCTTGGGCCGCTAGGGGTACCCCAAGGCAGGTAGAAAGCCCATGAGGGGAGGTTGAGGTTTGAGGGAGGAGAGGTGAGACACCTGTGGCAAGAAAAAAAAAAACCGCGCCGCTGAGAAGCGGGGCCTGGGTCCGCCACAGACGAAAGTGTCTTCCCATCAGCCCTTACGCTGGGCGTCAGGGAACCTGATGACTCTGGTTCGAGCCCAGGGTGCGCCTCACTCCACTAGGAGTACCCCAAAGCAGGCAGATGGCCCATGAGGGGAAGGTGATGTACCTGGGGCAGCCGAAAGAAAAAAAATATGCGCCGTGGAGAAGCGGTGCCTGGGCCCCCACGAAAGAAAGTATCTTCCCATCAGCCCTTGCACTGGGCCCCAGGGACCCTGGCGTCCCTGGTTCGACCCCAGGATTCGCCTCGGGCTGCTAGGGGTATCCCAAGGCAGGCAGAAGGCCCATGAGGCGAAGGTGAGGTTTGAGGGAGGAGAAGTGAGGCACCTGTGGGAGAAAAAAAAAAAAAACGCGCCACGGAGAAGGGGGTCCTGGGTCCCCCACAGACAAAAGTGCCTTACCATTAGCCCCTGCGCTTGGCCCCGTGGACCCTGGTGACCCTGGTTCAAACGCAGTGTGTGCCTCGGGCCGCTAGCAGTACCCCAAAGTGAGCAGAAGCCCATGAAGGGAAGGTGAGGCACCTGGAGCGGAGAAAAAAAAAAAAAACCTCGCCACGGAGAAGGGAGGCCTGGGTTCCCCATGAAAGAAAGTGCCTTCCCATCAGACCCTGTGCTGGGCCCCAGGGACACTGGCATCCCTGGTTTGAGCCCAGGGTGCGCCTTGGGCAGCTGGGGGTACCCCAAGGCGGACAGAAAGCCCATGAGGGGAAGGTGAGGTACCTGTGGCAGAAAAAAAAAAAGGCGCCGCAGCGAAGCGGGGCCTGGGTCCCCCACTGACGAAAGTGCCTTCCCATCACGCCTTGCGCTGGACCTCTTGGACACTGCGACCCTGGTTCGAGCGCAGGGTGCGAATAGGGCCGGCTAGGGGTACCCCAAAGCGGGCAAAAGGCCCATTAGAGGAAGGTGAGGCACCCGGGCAGAGAAAAAAAAACAAGCCACTGAGAAACGGGGCCTGGGTCCTCCACGAACGAAAGTGTCTTCCCATCAGCGCCTGTGCTGGGCTGCAGGGATCCTGGCGTCCCTGGTTCAGCCACAGGGTGTGCCTCGGGCCGCTAGCGGTACCTCTAGGCGGTCAGAGGGCTCATGAGGGGAAGGTGAGGTTTGAGGGAGGAGAGGTGAGGCACCTGCGGCAGAAAAAAAAAAAAAAGCTCACCTCGGAGAAGTGGGCCCTGGGTTCCCCACGGACAAAAGTCCCTTCCCATCAGCGCTGCGCTGGGCCCCAGGGACACTAGCATCCCTGGCTCCAAACCAGGGTGGGCCTCGGGCCCGCTAGGGGTACCCAAAGGCGGGCAGAAAGCCCATGAAGGGAAGGTGAGGCACCTGGGGAAGAGAAAAAAAAAAAAAACCTGCAGAGGAGCAGAGCTTGGGTCCCCCACAGACGAAAGTGTCTTCCCATAAGCCCCTGAGCTGGGCCTGTGGACCCTGGCATCCCTGGTTAGAGCCCAGGGTGCGCCTCGGCCTGCTAGGGGTACCCCAAGGCGGGCAGAAGGCCCATGAGGGGAAGGTGAGACACCTGGAGCACAGAAAAAAATTAAAAACCGCTCCGCCTAGAAGCGGGGCCTGGGTACCCCACGGAAGAAAGTGCCTTCCGATGAGCCCCTGCGCTGGGCCCTGGGGACACTGGCGTCCCTGGTTTGAACCCAGGGTGCACCTCGGGACTGCTAGGGTATCCCAACGTAGGCAGAAGGCCCCTGAGGGGAAGGTGAGGCACCTGGGGCAGAGAAAAAAAACCGCGCCGCCGAGAAGCGGGCCCTGGGTCCCCCACGGACGAAAGTGTCTTCCCATCAGCCCCTGCACTGGGCCCCAGGGACCCTGGCATCCCTGGTTCGAGCCCAGGGTGCGCTCGGGTCGCTAGGGGTACTCCAACGCAGGCAGAAAGCCCAGGAGTGGAAGGTGAGGTTTGAGGGAGGAAAGGTGAGGCACCTGGGGCAGAGGAAAAAAAAAAAACCGAACCACGGAGTAGCGGGGCCTGCGTCCCCTACGGATGAAAGTGTCTTCCCATCAGCCCCTGCGCTGGGCTCCGTCGACCCTGGCGACCCTCGTTCGAGCCCAGGGTGCGCCTTGGGCTCGCTAGGGGTACCCAAAAGCGGGCAGAAGGCCCATGAGGGGAAGGTGAGGCACCTGAGGCAGAAAAAAAAAAAAAAACTGTGCCGCAGAGAAGCGGGGCCTGGTTCCCCCACGGACGAAAGTGTCTTCCCATCAGCCCCTGAGCTGGGCCCAGGGGACCCTGGCATCCCTGGTTCAAGACAAGGGTGCGCTTCGGGCCTCTTGGGGTACCCCATGGCGGGCAGAAAGCCTATGAGGGGAAGGTGAGGTTTGAGGGAGGAGAGGTAAGGCACCTGAGGCAGAAAAGAAAAAAATAAAACCGCGCCACAGAGAAGCAGGGCCTGGGCACCCCACGGACGAAAGTGCCTTCTCATCAGCCCCTGCACTGGGCCCCGGGGACCCTGGCATCCCTGGCTGGAATCCAGGGTGCACCTCTGGCCTGCTAGGGGTAACCCAAAGCAGACAGAAGGCCCATGAGGGGAAGGTGAGTCACCTGGGGCAAATAAAAAAAAAAAAACGCGCTGCGGAGAAGCGGGGCCTGGGTCCCCCATGGGTGAAAGTGTCATCCCATCAACCCTTGCGCTGGGCCCCGGGGACCCTGGCGACCCTTATTCGAGCCCAGCTTGTGCCTGGAGCCGCTAGGGGTACCCCAAAGCGGGCAGAAGGCCCATGAGGTGAAGGTGAGGCACCTGGGGCAGAAAAAAAAAAAACGCGCCTCAGAGAAACGGGGCCTGGGTCCCCCACGGAAGAAAGTGTCTCCCCATCAGCCCTTGCGCTGCGCCCCGGGGACCCTGGCATCCCTGGTTCGAGCCCAGGGTATGCCTCGGGCCGCTAGGGGTACCCCAAGGTGGACAGAAGGCCCATGAGGGGAAGGTGAGGCACCTGAGACAGAGAAAAAAAAACTGCGCCGCCGAGAAGTGAGGACTGGGTCCCCCACGGACGAAAGTGTATTCCCATGAACCCTTGCGCTGAGCCCCAGGGACGCTGGCGCCCCTGGTTCGAGTCCAGTGTGTGCCTAGGGCGGCTAGGGGTACCCCAAGTCGGACAGAAGGCCCATGAGGGGAAGTGAGGTTTCAGGGAGTAGAGGTGAGGCACCTGTGGCAGGTGCCCATCTGTAAACTGTTTATCCATGTGAGCCCTGATGTTCACCGGGGGCTGGATGTCCCCCTGGGGCTAGATGTTCGCCTGGAGCCTGGTGTCTACCTGGGGCCTGATATCCAGGAGAGGCTTAGTTATCCATCTATGGCCATCTGGAGCCAGATGCCCACCTGAGGTCTGGTGTACACCTAAGGCCTGATATCTACCTGGGGCTTGAGTGTTCATGTGGGATCTGATGTCTACCTAAGACCGTGTGTTCACCCGGAGCCTGGGTGACCATCTGGGTTATCATGTTCAGCTGGGGCCCAGAGTTCAGCTAGGGACTGGGTCAACCTTCTGCTTGTTGCACACCTGGGGACTAGGTACCCACCTGGGCTCCGGTGTTCACTGGGGCCTGATGTCTGTCTGGGGCCTTGTATTTACCTAGGACCAATGCATCCACCTGAGGTCTGAGTGCTCTCATGGAGCCTGGAGTTTTCCTGGGGCCTGGGGTCTGCCTTAGGCTTAAGTGTACATTTGTGGCCTCATGTCCACCTTGGGATGGATGTCCACCTGGGGATGGATATTCAGTAGGGGCCTGAGTGTCCACCTGGTTTTTGATGTCTACCTGGGGCCTGGTGTTCATCTGAGGTTTGATATCCACCTGGGGCTGGGACATTTGCCTGGAACCTGATGTACAGCTGGTGCCTGAAGTTCATCTATGCCTGGTGTCCCCCTGGGGCCAGGTAGTCAACACAGGGCCTGAAGACCTTCTAGAGTTCAGTGTTCACCTGTGGCCTGAAGTCCACCTAGGGCTTGGGTGTCCAAATAGGGCCTGGTGTCAGCTTGAGATTTGTGTATTTACCTAGGGCCTGGTTGTCCACTGGGGGCTTGATTTTTTACTTGGTTTTTGTGTTAATTTGGGATCTAGTGTCCACCTGGGGCCTAGGTATCCACCTAGGGACTATTGTCCAGCTGGAGACTAATGACTACCTATGGCCTGGTAATCACCTAAGGCTTTGTTCCACTTAGGTACTTGGTGCCAAACTGTTGCCTGCTGTTCAGCTGGGGTATGGTGTCCACCTGGGGTCTGGATGTCAGCCTGGGGCTTGTTGTATACCTGTATCTTAGATATCCAGATAGGGGTCTATTTTCTGCTTAGGTGCAGCAGTCCATCTGGTGCTTGAGTGTCAACCTAAGGCCTGATGTCTATGTTGGACCTTGGGTTCACCTGAGGCCTGATATCCACCTGGGGCCTCAATGTCCAAATGGGGCCTGATGCCCATCTGGGCGCTGGGTGTCCACCTGCAGCATGGATGTCCACTGGTACTTTATGTCCACCAGGGGCCTAATGTCCACCTAAAACCTGGTGTTCACCTGGGGTCTGATGTTCAGCTGAAGACCGGATGTCCACCTGGAGCCGAGGAATCCACCCAGGGACTGGTGTTGAACTGGGGCCTGATGACCACCCGGGGACAAGGTACACACCAGGCTTGTTGTCCACCTGTCACCAGATGTCCACCTGAGTCCTGATGTCCATCTTGATCCTGGGTGTCCACATTAGGCCTGATGTCCACCTGGGGCCTAAGTACCCACTGGGGGCTTCCTGTTAACCTGGGGGCTGGTGTCATTCTGGGGCCTAATGACCACCTGGGTTGTATTATTCACCTAGGGCCTGGTGTCCACTTGGGGCTTGAGTGTAACCTTGGACCTGGCACCCACACAGGACTTGGGTATCAAACTGGCCCCTTGGTGTCCAGTTAAGACATCATGTGAACCTGGCGCCTGAGTGTCCACATGGGGCCAAATGACTACTGGGGGCCTGAATGTCAACCTAGAATCTGAGGTTTACTAGGGGCCTAGGTATCCACCTGGGGCCCAATGTCCACCTGAGCCTGGGTGTCAACCTGGGGCCTGATGTAAACCTCTAGTTCAGTGTCCACCTTGGGCTTGATGTCAACCTGGAGCCTGATGTCCACCTGAGTACTGATGTTCACCTTTGACCTGATGTCCACCTGTGGACTGTTTATCCACCCATGGCCTGATGTTCACCTGGGGCTGAATGTCCAACTGTGACCTGTTGTGCACCTGGAACCTAGGCATCCACCTGCAGCCTGATGTTCAGCTGGGCTGGGACCCGGAGTTCACCTGAGGCATGATGTCCACCTGAAGCTTGATGTTCACCTGGGGGCTGGGTGTCCACTTGGGGCCCAATATCCACCTGGACTAGGTACCCACCTGGGATCTGGTGTTCACTCAAGATTGGTGTTCAGCTGTGGCCTAATGACCACCTGGGTCATGATGTCTACCTTGGACTGGGTGCTTACCTGTAGCCAGTGTTCACTGGGGACCTAGTGTGCACCTGAGACCAGGGGATGTACCTGGGGCCTGGTGTCTACCTGGTGCCTAGGTATCCACTTGAGGCCTAATGTTCATCTGGAATCTGGTATCCACCTGGGGCCTTGTAATTACCTGGGGTCTGGGCATCCACCTAGGGCTTGAGTATCCTCCTGGGGCCTTGAGTTTTACTGGGGACTCGTGTCTGCCTTGGACCTGGGTGTACATCTGTGGCCTAATGTACACCTTGAGAGTGATGTCAACCTGGGGACAGATGTCCTCTTGGGGTCTGAGTGTACACCTGGTGTCTGATGTCTGCCTGAGGACTTGTGTTCACCTGAGACCTGATATTCACCTGGGGACTGGGCGTCCATGAGGGGCTGATGTCCAGCTGGACACTGGATATCCACCTGGGGCTTAAGGATCCACCCAGAAACTGATGTCAAACTGGGGCCTGATGCCTACCTGCGGACTAGGTATCCATGTGAGGCTTGATGTTCATCCGCAGCCAGACGTCCATCTGATGCTTGATGTCCACCTTAGTCCTGGGTGTCTACTGGAGACCTCATGTTCAACTAGAGCTTAGGAACCTACTTGGGGCCTCGTGTAAACCTGGGGACTGGTAAGCAGCTGGGTCCCAATCATCCCCTGGGTCATATTATTCACCTAGGGCCTGGTGTCCATTTGGGGCTTGAATGACAACCTTAGGTCTTGTGTTCATCTTTGACGTAGTGTCCACCTGGGACTTGGTTATCAACCTGAGGACTTGGTGTCCAATTGAGGTGTCATGACCACCTGGGGACTGAATGTCAATCTGGGGTCTGATGTAAACCTCTAGTTCAGTATCCACCTGGGGCCAGATGTCTTCCTAGAGACTTATATTCTCTTTTGACCTGATGTCCACCTGGGGACTTGCTATCCATCCATGGTCTGATATTCACCTGGGGACAGATGTCCAACTGTGGCCAGAAGTGCACCTGGGGTCTGGGCTTCCACCTGGAGCCTGATGTTTAGCTGGGGCTAGAGTTTAAATGGAGAACGATGTCCACCTGAAGTTTGATGTTTACCCGGGGCCTGATACCTGCCTGGTGCCCAAGTATTCTCATGTGCCTAATGTCCACTAGTTGGCCTGGTGTTCATCTGAGGGCTTGGAGTCAACCAGTGGCTTTATGTACACCTGGATTCTAGTGTCCTCCTGGGGCCTTATGCTTACCAGGAGTCTGGTGTACCCCTGGGGTCTAGTATCCACCTGGAGTCTGGGTGTCCACCTGAGCCTAATGTTGAGCTTAGACTGAGTGTCAGCCTGAGGCCTGATGTCTACTTAGGGCATAGGTATTCACCTGGGGCTTGTTGTTTACCTGGGGACTAATGTCAACCTTGAGCCTAAGTATCCACCTGGGGAATAGTGTCCAGTTGCAGCCAGATGTCCACCTATGGCCTGAAGCATGGTTGTTATCCTAAGGTCTTGTATTAGTCCATTTTCACACTGTTATAAAATACTACCTGATATTGGGCAACTTATGAGGAAAAGAGGTTTAACTGACCCACAGTTCTTCAGGCTTAATAGGGAGCATGACTGGGCGGGCCTGGGACACTTACAATCATGATGTAAAGCCAAGAGGAAGCAAGCCCTTTTTACCATGGGGGAGGAGGAGGGAGAGAGAAGGGGGATGTGCTACACACTTTCAAATAACCAGATCTCGTAAGAAGTCTATCACGAGAAGAGCAAGTGGGAAGTCTGCCCCCATGATTCAATCACCTCTCACCACGCCCCTTCTTCAACCCATGGGGATTACAATTCAACATGAGATTTGGGTGGAGACATAGAGCCAATATTAGGCCTGATGCCTGCCTGGAGTCGTGTCTACCTGAGGCCTAAAGTAGACATGACGCCTGGGCATCCACCTAGGACCTCATGTTAAGATAGGGGCTGGAGTTCTTTCGGTGTCCAGGGTATACCTGGGGCCCAGATGTATAACTAGAGCCTGATTTTCAGATGGAAACCTGCGCCCCAAGTGCTCATCAGATCCTAGGTGAAAATTCAGGCTTCAAGTGCACATCAGACTCCAAGTGGACACATAGGCCCCAGGTTGATACCAAGATTTCAGGTAGACTCTGGGTCCCAGAAAAACACCCCACCCTAAGTGGACAGCTGAATCTGAGTAGACATCAGGCCCCAGATCAACATCTGGCCCCAGGTAGATTCCTAGGCCCAAGGTGAATACTCAGTCTCCAGCCCTAGGGGAATTCAGTGTTAGATGACTAAGGACTGGTTTTCCTCTGGGGCCTCATGTCTACCTGGGCCCTGGGAGTGCACAAGGAGCCAGATGTCTATAAAGGGCCTGAGTGTCCACTAGGGCCTGAGGTTCACCAGGAGCATAGACATCCACCTAGGACCTCGTGTCCACCTAAAACCTGGTATTCACTTGGGGCCTGGGTGACAACCTGGGATCTGATGTTCACCTGAGGCCCAGAGTTCAGCTGGTGCCTATGTCAGCCTGGCACCTGATGCACACGGGAGGACTAGGTGCCCACCTGAGGACTGGTGTTCATGGGGAACTGGTGTTCAGCTGTGGCTTGATGACCAACTGGGTCCTGGTGTCCTCCTGGCACCTGATGTCCACCTGGGACTGCATGCTTACCCAGGGCCTGGTGTTCCCCTGGGGCCTGGTGTGCCCCTGAGGCCTGGGGTCCACCTGGGCCTAGTATCCACTTGGGGCCTCATATCCATCTGGAACATCATGTCCACTTGGGGCCTTTTAGTTACCTAGGGACTGGGTGTCCTTCTGGCGCTTGAGTGTCCTCCTGGGGCCTGGGGTTCTCCTGGGGCCTGGGTGTACATCTCTGGCCTGATGTCCACCTTGGGATGGATGTCCATCTGGGAACAGATGTTCACTTGTGGCCTGAGTGTCCATCTTGTGCCTAATGTCTACCTGGGATCTGGTGTTTGCCTGAGGCCTTATATCCACCTGGGGCCTGGGCATCCATTTGAGGCCTGATGTCTACCTAAGACCCGGTGTTTAACTGGGGCACAGACTTCTTCCTGGAGCCCGACGTTCATATTTAGCCTGAAGTTCACCTATGCCTGTTGTCTACCTGTGGCCTATGTGTCAACCTAGGGCCTGATGACCACCCTGAGTTCAGTGTTCACCTGGGGCCTGACATCTGCCTGGAGTCTGGGTGTCCACATAGGGCCTGATGTTGGCTTGGGACCAAAGTATTTACCTAGGGCCTGGGTGTCTACTTAGAGCCTGACTTCTACATGGTTCATTGTGTCAACCTGGGACCTGATGTCCTCTTAGGGCCTAGGTAAGCTCCTTATGACTAAAGTCCACACAGGGGCTGAAACCATCTCAGACCTTGTGTTAATCTAGGGCTTAGTGTCCACCTGAGGCCTGCCTGGGACCTGGAGACCTCCTGGGGTCAATCTATCCACCTTGGGCCTGATGACCAATTGGGGCTTAAGGATCTACTTAGAGACTGGTGTCAACCTGGAACCTGGAACCTGATGTCCACTTGGAGTCTGGTGTACACCTTGGGCCTGATGCCCACCTTGGCACAGGTGTACACTTTGGGCCTAGTGTGCACTGAAGCCTGGGTGTCAACCTGGGTCTTGATGCACACCTTTAGTCAAGTGTTTAGCTGGGGCCTGATGAAATACTGGAGCCTGATTTACACCTGTGTACTGGGTCTCCACCTGGGGCCTGATGTCCTCCTGCAGCCAGATATCCACCTGGCACCAGATGTCTACGAGGAATCTGGGTGTCCATCTTGAAAATGATGTATTCCAAGAGACTAGGCATGCACATTGGGCCTGGGGTCCACCTGGGTCCTGATGTCTACCTGAGGCTGGTATTGAACTGGGGCCTGTGTGTTCACTTGGAGCCTGATGTCCATTTGGAAACTGGTGTTCACCTAGAATATGGGTATCCACCTGGATCCTGATTTTCAGGTGGGGAGTGGATATAGACCTGGGACCTGATGGCCACCTATGCTATAAGTAACCCAACCACCTGAGGCCTGATGTTCACCTGCAGCCTGATGTCCACCTGGTACCTGTGTGTCAATCTAGTGCCTGATGTCCACTTGAGGACTAGGTAGACACCTGGGGCTTTGTGTTCACCAGGGGCCTGGTGTTCATCTTGCACCCAGTGTCCACCTGGACCCTGTGTATCAACCTGTGGCCTAGGTGGTCACTTGGAGCTTTATGTGCACCTGGGGCCTGAGAGTTTCCTAGGATCTGATGACCACTGGGGCCCAGGTATCCACCTGGGACATCAGGCTCCAAGTGTATATCCAGGCTCCATGTGGACACCAGGCCAGGAGAACGCCAGCCCTTATCTGAATATCAGGTCCTAGATGGATGCCCAGGCCCCATGTGTACATCAGTCCCCGGGTATACACTGGACTCCAGGTGGACACCAGCACTCAATTGGATACACACACTCAAGGTGGACACCAGGCCCCACGTGAATTCGTACACTCCAGGTGAACATCAGGTCCCAAGTGGATACCTGGACTCCAGGTGTATACCAGTCTCTAAATTAATACCAGGCCTCAGATGGTCCTTAGGAGCCATGTGGGCATTAGTCATCAGGAAGTTACCTAGGCCCAAAGTGCACATCAGGCCACCTGTTGACACAAGATCTATTTGGAAGTCAGGCCCCAGGTGGACACCCAGGCCCTAGGTAAATACTTAGGTCCCAGGTTGACAGCAGGCCCTGTGTTAACACTCAGAACTCAGGTGGACATCAGGCCTCAGGTGGACATCTGAGTTCATCTGGAACCTCGTGTTACAGGCCCCATGTAAACAACAGGCCTTAGGTGGATACCCAATCTCTAAGTGGACATCAGAGCTCAGATTGACACAAAGACTCCAGTAGACATAATGTACCAATGAATATCCAGGCCTCCGGTAAATACCCAGGCACCAGATTGACATCGGGGTCTATGTGGACACACAGGCCCCGGGTAGTAAACAGGCCCAAGGTGGACACTGGACTAGACATCAGGTCCTAGGTTGACAACCATGCTTCAAGTTGACACCAGGCCCCAAGTGAACATCTGGTCCCAGCTGGACACTAGTCTCCTGGTGAATACCTGGGCTCAAGGTTGACATCAGACCCTATGTGAACACTAGACCCCAGCTAAACACTTATGCCCTAAGTGGACATCAGGCCTCAGGTGGTTACCCAGTCCCAAGGTGAACATAGGACCCTGATGGGCACCAGTTATCAAGTGGATTCCCAGGCCCCAGGTGAATATCAAGTCCTAGGTGGATACCAGGCCCCAAGTGGATACCAGGATCTGGTAGACATCAGGTCCCAAGAGGACACTAGAACCCAGGAGTACATTAGACTCAGTGCTCAGATGAACATTAGGCTTCAGGTGGACATCGTGCCTCAGGTGAACTCCAGGCCCCAGATGAACATCAGGCCCCAGGTGGATGCCCAGGATCCGGGTGCACATCTGGCCACAGTTGGACATTCAACCCCAGGTGACCATCAGGCCATGGGTGAATACACGGTTTCCAGGTAGACATCAGATCAAAGGGGAACATCAGTCCCCCAGTGGACATCAGGCCCAAGGTGGACACTCAACTAGAGGTTTACATCAGGCCACATGTTGACACCTAGTACCAGGTGGACATCAGGCCCCAGCTAGATACCTAGGCTTCCAGTGAATTTCAGAACCCAGGTTGACATTCAGGCCCCCAGTGGTCATCTGGCCTCATGCGAACACTCAGACCCCAGGTGCAAATGATGTCTCAACTGGATACCAAACCCCTAGTTTGATACCCAAGGCCCAGGTGGACACCAGGTCCAAGGCTGACACTCAAGCCCTAAGTGATTACCAAACTCTAGGTGAATAATTCAACCCAGGTGGTCATTAGGACCCAGCTGGATACCAGTCCCCAGGTTAACACAAGGCCCCCAGTGGGCACCTAGGCACCAGCTGGACATGAGGCCCTATGTAAACACCCGGGTCTCAGGTGAACACCATGCCCCAGGTGGACATCAGGCCCTAGGTGGACACGGGGCCACAGGTGGACATCTAGCCGCTGGGCAACATCCAGCCCCAGGTGGACATAACCATTTCCATGGATAAACCATTCCCAGGTGGATAGCAGGCCTCAAGAGGATGGCAGTCACCAGGTAGACATCAGGCCTCAGATAGACACCAAGGTCCCAGATGTACAGCAGGCCCCAACCAAACCCCAGACTCATGTGGACATCAGGTCACAGGTAGACACCAAGCCTTAGGTAGATACCTAACTTCAGGTGGACATCAGACCCCAGGTGGACACCCAGTCCCCGGGTGGACAGTCAGGCCCCAGGCCCACATCAGGTCTTAAGTGGACACCCAGGCCCCAGGTTGATATCCAGCTCCCAGGTGATCACCAAGCCCCAGGTAGACACCAGGCCATAGGTGAGCAACAGGATGCAGTAGGTCATCAGGCCACAGCTGGATACCAGTCCCTGGTGAACACAAGGCCCCAGTGGGACAGAGATCTAAGGCAGACATCAGGCCCCAGGTGGACATACAGGCCTGAGGTGGAATTCACCCTGAGGGGGACATTCGGCCCCAGGTAAGCATCAGGCCTCAGGTGAATAACCAGTCCCCAGCCGGACATTAGCCCACAGGTCAACCACAGTACCCAGGTTGATGTCTGGTCCCCAGGTGGCTACCCAATCTGCAGGGTAACATTAGGCCCCTGTAGGTTCCCAGGCCCCAAGTGGATTCCTAGGCCTCTGGTGAACATCAGGTGCAGGTGTCCAAGCAGGCCCTGGGTGGACATAACTGTGTACAGGTAAGGAGTTGACCTGTGTGGAAGGTGAGCAGTCAGCAGCCCACTGGGGTCCTGAGTAGGTCTTCAGGAAGGAGGAGGCCAAGGGGACAGAACCTTAAAGAAGCGACCTCACTTCCTTGGCAACAGACCCTAACGGAACTTAGAATTCTGGAAACCAGGCCAGGCACGGTGGCTCACACCTGTAATCCCAGCACTTTGGGAGGCTGAGGCAGGAGGATCATGAAATCAGGAGATCGAGACCAGCCTGACCAACATGGTAAAAGCACATGTCTACTAAAAATACAAAAAACAAACAAGGTCAGGAGATCGAGACCATACTGGCTAACACAGTGAAACCCCATCTCTACTAAAAATACAAAAATTAGCCGGGCATAGTGGCAGGTGCCTGTAGTCCCAGCTACTCGGTAGGCTGAGGCAGAAGAATGGCATGAACACAGGACGCGGAGCTTGAAGTGAGCCAACATCGCGCCACTGCACTCCATCCAGCCTGGGAGACAGAGCGAGGCTCTGTCTCAAAAAAAAAAAAAAAAAAAAAAAACAACTAGCCAGGTGTGGTGGTGCATGTCTTGTGCCTGTAATCCCAGCTACTCAGGAGACTGAGGCAGGAGAATTGATTGAACCTGGTAGGCGGATGTTGCAGTGAGCTGAGATCATGAAACTGCACTCCAGCCTGGCCAACAGAATGAGACTATGTCTCAAAAAAAAAAAAAAGAATCCCGATAACCAGGCACCCACATCCTAGAGTTAGCCCCATAGCCAGCTCACTTGGTGGGAGATGCTCAAGACAGCAAGATGTTCTTGTGCTGCATCCCCACATCTCAAGGCTCCTGCTTCAGGAATGGCAGGAGTGAGAATCTTTCTTTTCTGACAATGCCCTTGTAGGCTCATCCCTCACCCCAGATGCCTCTGGCCATTTAGCAGAAGGTGCCCCCAAGTACCACAGGACAGGAGTCACCAGGTAGACATCAGGCCCCAGATGGAGCTACCAGGCCAGGCCTCACCAGTGATCCCACCAGGGCCACATCCGCACATTGTCCTTGTCCAGCTGGAGCCTCTGGAGCTCATTGAGACACAGGCACATGCTGAGGTCACCTGCAGTCTGGAAGTCTTTCCAGGGACAATGTTTTCAGGCTGAAATTCCTTTAAATTCAGTGAGGTTGTTTTCATGTTTGGAAATTCCAGTGGAAAGTGAGTGATATTGGTGACCTCTCTCCTTTTTCAATTCCTGCTTCAGGTGCAGAAATACAGCTATTTCCAGTGCCAGCTGTTGAGCCAGTGCTAGCACCAGGGTCAAAGCCCCCTCCAGGGACAGCGCTGGAGCTAGAGGAGGCTCCAGAGCCCTCCTACCATTGCCCTGGGACTGCCCAGGACCAGCCCAGTGAGAAGCTGCCTGACTTCATGGCACCTCCTGTACAGCCACCGGCCTCAGCCCTGGAGCTGAAAGTGTGGCTGGAGCTAGAGGTGGCAGAGAGGGGGTGACCAGCACAGCTCCAGCCAGCAGCTCCCACACTGCTCCCAGTCCTGGGCACAGTGGAAGCTATGGAGGCAGAGACCAGGGTGTGCAACCTGGGCTCCTCTGCCTCACTGGAGAGGGACTTCTCTCATTCAGCAGAGCAGCAGCACTGCTGCTGAAGAGCCTGCTGCTACTGCTGCTGGGGGTGTTTGCCTGCCTACAGGAGGTGCTGGAGAGCAAGAAAAGGAGCCTGTGAGCAGGGGTTCCAGCAGGTCCTCCTGCTCCCAGAGGCGACCTCCTCCTCCAGGCATGGAGGTTTGCCCTCAGCTAGGCATCTGGGCCATTTGCCTCTAATGTTCTGCCCAGGATGGCCTCTTCTTGACAGGCAGACAGGGGTTGAGGGGGCCAGGGGGCATCTCCAAAGGAAGATTTAAACTCAGCATCTGCACCCCAGAATCTCCATGCCTGCACCTGCCCAAGGATTTATTCATAGCTTAACTAAGAATCTCAAATTTCTACCATAACACTGAAATAAAGTTTGACTTTTTGAAACTTCCATGACTTCTTTCACTCCCTAATATTGTAGATGATGTTTTTAAGGTGACATTGAAAACCTCTGATAGTTGTGTGTTTTGTTATGGCTCTTTGTGTGATTAAATTACGATCTGATCAAGTGATATTGAAAACCCTTCAGGTATGGCTTTTAGAAGAATTTGACCTATTTTTGCTTGTGTTGACTCTCCCTCCAGCTTTGTGGAAAGAGGGATCATGTAGCTTCATTTCTCAGGCAGATCAGTCACCTTTTGCTATCAAAGTTTTAGCATCCATTTCGAAAATTTGGTGTACAAGTTGATATTTTGGTGTTTTTAGCTAATCTGGAGTCAAAACAGAATGCCATAGATGAGGAAGCTTATAAACCAATTTGTTTCTTTCAGTTTTGGAGATGGCAAAATTCAAGGTCAAGTGGTTAGCAGATTCCATGTCTGGTGTGGGCTTGCTTTGTGGTTCATAGACAGCCATGTTTCTACCATGTCCTCACATGACAGAAGGGATGAGGGAGCTCTCTATGGTGCCTTCAATAGGGGCTACTAATCCCACTCCTGTGGCCCCTGCCTTCATGAGCTAATCATTCCCCAAGGCCCTACCTCCAAATATCATCACATAGGGAATTAGATACCAGCACTTGAATTTGAGTGGGACAATAACATTTGGTCTATAGAATCAGGTTACCCAGAGCCTTATGCATTCAGAGGAAATCCAAAATCTTCTATAAGTAAAGTATTCGCTGGTCCCCTCTGGGCTTAGGGAAACCTTTAATTGCAGCTCTTGATTCAGCTTGGTCCAAGCTTAAATTCTACATTTGCCTGCATAACTTGTTCATGGGACAGAGGAAAGTTTAGAGGCAACTGACCATTTGGAGTTTTAAGACAATTGATGGAAGAGGGCTTGGCATCTGGATGAGAAGTGGAGGGAGAATAGAACAAAGGCACAGAAGGAGAGAGCACAATGAGAAAGGGGAAGAGGGACATCTGGACATAAGGGCCAACTGGAGGGCAGGGAAGGTAATTTTCCTTGCATTTTAAACTCAGACCACATATCACATCAGAATCACCTGAGGGAGACATTTTCAATGCATATTCCTGGGTTTCTTCTCTTGGAAATTTTTATTTCTTAAATCTTGAGTTGTGCTGATTTATCCATATTTATCATAAGAATTTTGGATAATTCCTACTTTGGGAGGCCCAGGCAGTGGATCACTTGAGGTCAGGAATTCAAAACCAGTCTGGCCAACATGGTGAAACTTCATCTCTACTAAAAATACAAAAATTAGCCAGGCATGGTGGTACACATCTGTAGTCCCAGCTACTTGGGAGGCTGAGGCAGGAGAATCACTTGAATCAGGGAGGCAGAGATGACAGTGAGCTGAGATCACGCCACTGCACTCCAGCCTGGGCAACAGTAAGACTCCATCTCAAAAAAAAAAAAAAAAAGACTTGTGGATAATTCTGATGCAATTAGAAAACAAAGCAGAGCTTGACAACCACTGGGTTGGAAAGTATATCAGGAAGACATTTGATTATGTAAAATAACTGCAAAACAAACTGAAGGGGAATTATTTTAAAATGCTTGAATATAATTATATAATTCTATTCTTCCTATGTATGTAGTTTGACCACATATTTGATGTCTGCTATACTAAGATTGGAAATGTGTAGAAGTTTTTTCAAAAATCAGGTAGAAGCACAGAAAAAAGGGGTTGGAGAGAAAAGAAAACTAGCTATTGTCTGGTAACAAGAGAAGAGAAGGGAAACGAAGTAGCATGTTTTTGTTCATTGTTTGATGGCATCTAAATTATGATCCCAAATATTTTTTTCTAAGAAATCCAATAATACAAGTATTCAGAGTGGAGTACCAACCTGGTTTACTGGGAAAGAGAAGTGTACTCTGTTTTGCTGCATAATGTTGAGGGAGAAGGAAAGGAAAATTAGTTCAGTAAACAAGTAAGAGACTGGTCCTCAGGGAAGCTGTCTGCCTGAAAAATCACAACTACTGCACCTACAGATAAGTCCTGAACAGATAAGCATGCAAGGTCCAGCACACATGCCTTCTGTTCTTTGTGTAATTGGCAAGCTCCCAGGTAAAATTTTCCTCCCTTTTTCAGGCATATACATGGCGGCCTCTGTGGGAACTTGCACAGGGAGGAGGGGGGCTTACCTAAAACAAACCCACAGTTATACAAACAAGAGAAGCCTACTTTGTGCTTGACTAGACACATACCCACAGCTGGATATATAAAGGGAATTGTGCAGACAGTTTTATATAGAGCTGAGAGGAGTTTCTTATAAAAGCTTTTTGATTCAACAGTAAAAACGGCAATCCAGTTGGACTCTCTTGTCTGCTGCAGAGAGCTTCCTCCTTTTGATTATTAAACTTTCCCTCCAACCTCACCCGTGTGTCCCTGTTCCTTAATCATCTTGGTGGTGAGATGAAGAACTCCACGTGATACCTCATAAGAGAGACTGCTACATTGTGGTGCATTGGTGAGACTGCAACTTTAAGAAGTGTGACTTTTATTGCTGCTGAATTATTTTATCTCCTACCCAATTGAAAATAAAGGATACAAAGTGCTTAGGCTGAACACAAAGTCCTCTGCTCTAGGTAACATCTTCAGCAGCCACGTTAGCAGAGGGATGGGTGGTAATGGTGGAGTAGATGTCTCTTTGCTTCGACAGGGTGTCTGCTTATGTGTTAAACAAAATAGTATGCTATATATTTCGTTAAGAAATCTGCTAAAAAATGAAGAAAAACAGGTTCATGTTCTTAAGAGGCACGGTATTTGCTATGGCAGCAAGACCAAAAGGCTTAAGTAACAAAAATGTGCATAGTAGTTACAAACATTTTCATCTAAACAAAACAATGTGAGCATCTGCATATGATAATAACTCATGCAAAAAATATTTTTTAACTGAGATTGCAATCATTTTATACATAACAAATGTTATCACTGTATTCTCAGGTAATATATTGTTTGTATATAGATGTTATAAATAATAACTTATTTAAGTTATTCATCATTTATACAACAAATAATTCTTTGGAATCTACAAAATGCTGGTTTTGTTCTAGGCACTGAATGTACAAATTTATTTAAAATATGTGTTCTTAGAGTTTTGTAGATTAAAAAATACAAAATAGGCCGAGCACAGTGGTCACACCTGTAATCCCAGCACTTTGGGAGGCCGAGGCAAGTGGATCACCTGAGGTCAGGAGTTTGAGACCAGCCTGACCAACACGGTGAAACCCAATCTCTACTAAAAATACAAAATTAGCCGAGGGTGGTGGCACATGCCTGTATCCCAGCTACTTGGGAGACAGAGGCAGGACAATCGCTTGAACCCAGGAGGTGGAGGTGGCAGTGAGCTGAGATTGCACCATTGCACTCCAGCCTGGGCAACAAGAGCAAAACTCTGCCTAATATATATACATATATTATATATACATATATACATATAATATGTATATATATTACATATATACATTTGTGTATTTATATAACATATATACATTTGTGTATATATATAACATATATACATTTGTGTATATATATAACATATATACATATTTGTATCTATATAACATACACATATGTGCATATATACATACATACATAATATATACATATATGTATATGTATAATATACATATATATCTAATATATATACATATATAATATATGTATGTGTGCATATATATATTAAATATATATACACATATATAGTAGAAGTTGTACTGCTGAAAACAAGAGCTACTAATACAAAAATTTGAAGAAACCTAGTTTGAGTATTTTTAATAGAAATGGATATTTTAATACAGGTCTCTTGTTATTTCTTGTGGAAATAAATGACAAGATGGAATTTCTGGGAGTTTTGTATCTGAATATTTAAGTATAGCAGGTATGGTCAGTTTTTCAAAGGCATTTTACCATCTTACTTGTGCATCGGCAACTCTTAAGATATTATGTGGGACAACGGCCTGTCCAACAACCTCTAGTATCAGTCTTTGTAAAATTTGTCAATTAAAAGGGTTTTTTGTTTTTGTTTTTGAGGCAGTCTCACCCCGTCACCCAGGCTGTAGTGCTGTGGCGTGATCTTAGCTCACTGCAGTCTTTGCCTTCCAGGTTCAAGTGATTCTCCTGCTTTGGCCTCTCAAGTAGCTGGGACTATAGGTGCCCCCCACCACACCCAGCTAATTTTTGTATGTTTAGTAAAGACAGGGTTTCACCATGTTGGCCAGGCTGTTCTCAATCCTGACCTCAGATGGTCGACCTGTCTCAGCCTCCCAAAGCCCTGGGATTACAATCATGAGCCACCGCACTTGGCTGGGTTTTCTGTCTCTCTCTCTCTGTCTGTCTGTCTGTCTGTCTCTCTCTCTCTCTCTCTCTCTCTATATATATATATATAGAGAGAGAGAGAGAGAGAGAATATATATATATAAAGTGTATATATATACTTTAAGTTCTGGGATAAATGTGCAGAACATGCAGGTTTGTTACACAGGTATACATGTGTCACGGTTTGCTGCAAAATGGGTGTAGGTTTTGCAAGTCATTATTATATTATTAAAAGATAACAGAATACCGAGCTAAAAAAATGCGAGGAGGCATTAATGGGCACATGTTTACTGAGCACATCCTGACTCCAGAATTAAAAATCCAATTTATGTCTCTGCAGTCCAATAAAATTTTTCCTTAAGAATCCAGAGATCAGACTTTCATTTCAGCAACCACTCCAATATGATTTCTCACCTACTCACTCCAACGAAGCTGCTCGTATCAAAACATAAGTGCTATCCATATTGTTAAACTATAAATTGAACCATAACTCCTCGGCCTTCGTCTTAATTTATATATCAGCAGCATTTCACACAGTTGATCTCCACCTTCTCTTTGTAAAACTTTTTTATAGAATTCCAGAATACTTAACCTACTTCCCCCCCACCATGTTTTGGATAATTACCCCTAGTCCTTTATTGCAGGTTTCATCTTTTCTATTTTTTAAATATTAGAGGACCATTAGGCTCAGGACTTCGACTTCTTATCTTTGCTTTCTTACTAATGTTTGTGTCATTAATTTCCTGATATTTCTTATTACACCTAAACACTGGACACTACACCCAACACTCCCTGACTTATCCACGTGGATGTCAGTTAGGAATCTCAAAATTAATATGTCTATATTGAGCCACTGAAACTCCCCAAATTTGCTCTTCCCCATTCTGTTTAACGGCTACTCCCATTTTATAGTTTCTCAGCTCAATATTCTTGGTGTCCCCTTTTAATTCTGTCTCTGCAGCTCTGTCAATCTTTTTCTGTATCTGTCTGATTCTCTCTCTCTCTCTCCTCTCTCTCTTGCTCACTTTCACTCTTGCTCTCTCTCCCTGCTTCACACACACACAAACACACACAGACAGACACACACACACACACACACACACACACACATTTTCAGATCTGACGTGTATGGAATTCCTGCCAGCTTTACCTTTAAAGTGTAGTAATTCCAAATGTTGTTTCAAATTCACCTTCCCACCCCCACCACTTGGTAACTATAGCGCTTCCCTCACAAGGCCAAATGCAGAGATTTCTTGGGGAAATAATGAGAACTATTATACATTCTTATTTCAAGGACACCTAAATTTACAGGATTGCCATATTTGATACTAATTTAAGCTTCTGTCATTGCCCTTTTTTCAATCCATTCTCCACACAGCTACCACAGTGTGCAAGTAGAAGTCTCAGCCATATCACCACACTCCTGCTTTAATGTCCCTACTCCATTGCTTCTTTTCTCCTTCAGAAGAGTTTAAGCTTAATGCAGCTGGGCAACTTTACATATTTTTCCACGAGCTGGAGATCATTTGGTGTAAGGTAAATGATCAGTAAATGTTTTCAAATAACAGAATCCACGAATAATAGTTTTGTTTCTTTGAGAGTACATTGACTTTTAAAAATCAAGAAAATAGATTGCTCAAGAGAATTCTGCTTGTTTTGATTTTGTTATCACTCGATTAGATTAACTGTGTCAGTATAAATGTCAGTGTGGAAAGCTATAAGCATTTCCTAAACTTTAAAATGAAAGGCATGGAATTTAAATATCTGCTCCTTTTATTTGAGCAACCAGAAAACACAACTTTTAAAATATATTTTATGTATGTATGAAATCTAAATTTATTTTTCTCTCTTTATCCCAGAATACTTTTAAAAGTTATTCATGTCCTCATTATTTTTTAATCCACTTCAGTAACATTTTAAAATATATTTTCGACTTCATTAAGAATATCTTTGTGTTCCACTGAATAGCTTGCCAAATAATAAAACATTAGCAGATAATTTCCTCATAAACATTATTTAATTTGCTTGGTTAAACATAGATTTCCTACTCTCAACTCATAATTTCATTCAAGTATAATATATTCTACTTGACATTTGCGGGGTTTTCATACCATTCATTTGTCATTGAAATTGGTTTTTGATATTTGAACAACTAGTTTATAATTGTATTGTTGGTTAGACTGGTCTGTGGAATCTTTCTTTGTTTTGATTCTGTGGTTTATTCATTACGGAGTAGCTTTGCTACTGTAAATTTTGAGGTCAAAAGCTTAAAACATTTTATGTATTTTAAAACAAAGTAGATGCCATTTAAATATCTATTCCTTAAAATTTGGAAGAAAGGTAAACACCATATAAACCCAGAGCCTGTATTTTTAGATTAGTAGCATGTAGACATTTTCAATTTTTTTCTAAAGTTGAAAAAAATAAACATTTTGTGTACATAGAATGCTTGATAGCAGAAGGTAAATATTTAATTTTCACTTAAAAGAAATTTGGTTACATTGAAAGGAAATTTGGCTAATATAAGTGAAATACATTTCTAATTAAAACAATAATTTAAGATAAATAATGCTCAAAGAACAGTGGTCACTGCATTTATTCCAGAGAGAGGACATTGATCCTGATCTGGCTGTAATAATGTAGTAGGTAGAACTGCTGGTGTGGACACCCGAGCAAGGAAGGGAAGCTGGTGTCTCAAGGGGTCCCGCTGAGAGTGAAAGGGGTCAGGGCCCAGACTGTGGATGTCACCTGGACCCAACCACCATGTCTCAGAAGAAGAAATGACCCTCCCCTCCTGGTGCTGCCCAAAACAAGGAGCTTAGCAGTGTTGCACACAGGATAGTCCTTGCAGGAGACATGTTTGACAAGTTGCTGAGGTGCCTGATGGGGCCAGGCTCTTCTCATGAAATGAGTTTGAATCCTGAGGAAGCCTCTTTATTGGAAACCTGGCAGGGATCCAATTTCCCCTTTGCCTTAACCCCGTAAGAGAACAGTAGACAGGGAGGAGGTCACCCAGGTGGCTGTTCCTGCTTGGCCCCCACTTCCCAGACCATTCCAGGCAGGGAGAGCTGCTGAGATCACTCCACGGGCTGCTCACATAGGGTCTGGACCCAGCTGCCCTCCTGTGCCTGGCAGGCAGCCCCTGGGCCATCACACGATCCATTGTGTGGTGATCAGTGGCCCACTGCCTGCCCTTGTGGTGGGTGCAGTTCACAGGTGCTTCCCCAGGCCTGGCACACTGGCCTTTCCAGCCTGGCCCATGATAGGGGATGTGAATGACCCTTGCCTCTGCCCCTTCAGACCATGTGAGGTTGGACACTCACTGCAGAAGTCCCTCCAGGTCCCTTTTTAACTGAGTTGTGGGGGACTTGCTTAGCCCTCATGTCCAGGGTCAGGGGAGGGGTGCAGAGTCTGCGCCCTAAATCCCCTAGGGCCTGAGGGAGGTCTCCCAGGTGACCTCTGTCCTCTCCAGTGACACGAGTCCTCCCAGATGGCCTCATCCCTCTCAGGTGACATGCTTCCATGGTGACTCTGGCTCTTGCAGGAGGTGGGCTACCACAGGGACATGAGCTGCCTAACTGCCATCCTCCTCCTGTATCTGCCAGAGGAAGACACCTTCTGGGCACTGGATCAGCTGATGGCCGAGGAGGGGCACTCCCTGCAGGGTAGGCGGACAGCTACCCCCAGGGCCTCACACAGCCAGGCCATGGGATGGCCACCCTGGCTGGGCGATCCTGACTTCCAGGCAAGGCACCATCCTTGCTTTCCAGCTTGTTAGGAGCCTTCAGGACATCCCTGCTGAGGGTCCCACAGGGACCCAGAGCTGAACAGGGACCCTTTCACTTCAAGGCAGACACCTTTCATTCCCAACAGCAGAGGGCGCTGCAGCCTCCCCCTGGCCACGCTGTGTGTCCCAGAGCCACAGCCCTCTAGCCCTGAGTTCATGCAGGTGACTCTCCCTTCCCCAAGAGTCCTCCTACCTCCCAGCTGGCCACACCGCCAGCTGGCCTCCCAGCCCACAGATGGGCCAATGAAATCAAGATGGCAGTGTCTGCCCATCTCATGTCCCCCAGCCAGACCCCATGTCCAGGAGATGGCCATGTAGTCCCTCGGTACCCACCCCGTTCCCTCCACTGGCCACTGCCTGCCTCAGCCCTTCCTCATAGCCTCAAAGGCAGGCCTGCCCTCCTGGCACCTCTACCCAGGATGCTGCTGTGCAGTGCCTCCAGCTAGGGCCCACCTCCCTAGAGCTGAGGCCACATATTAGGGTCACCTGATGGAAAGGAGGAAGGCCTCACGGTCCGGGGTCCCCTGCCACTGCCCAGCTCTTCCAGCTGACGGCTCCACATCTTGGGAGTGGGCTCTGATGCATGATGGGTCAGGGGCTTCTCAGTTTTCTACAGCCCAAATACTCCCCAGCTCCGGAGCCTTCTATCCCACCAGGAGCAGGTATAACACAAATCCTTCCCAAAGATCATGCGGTACCTGCTGAGTGGACAACACCCTCAACTCTTTCCCACAGGCCCTGGGTCCCATGTGGCAGGGAAACAGGGGAAGATGGAGCTCCTCGAGGGCCTGACAAGGGGCTGAGTCCCAGCCAGGGCCTCACCCAAGATGAGGATTCTCCATGGGTTTGGAGTTGGGTTTCCTTTTCATGTCCTGGAGGAGAAGGCAGAGGTACTAGGATGGGGGCTGAGCTCCAGCTGAGCATGGTTAAGGGAAGTGTGTCCACCAGGCATCTGTGCATGGGGGAGTTGTTGGGGAAGCACTGGCCACTGCCCAGTGTTCTGTCCAGGGCAGCTCAGGGGGCCCTGAACACCTAGGGTCCAGGAAGGGCTATACATTGAGGTTTGTTGAGTTGGCTCCTCTGGTGTTTTGTTGATGGGGTAAGGAGGCAAATGGACACCCCAGGCCAGTGACCCTCCTGTCCCACAAGTGCCCAGCTCCCCCAGGAGGACCTGGCTCACCCCAAGCCCACAGGAAGCACAGGAAAGTTTCTGCATGGCACAGAAGCCAGGCCCTCCTCAAGAGGGGGCATCACAAGGCAGGGGCCAGGACTCAGGCCCGCTGCTATTTCCACTTTATTAATTTTATAAGGTGATATGGTTTGGCTGTGTAGCCACCCAAATCTCATCTTGAACTGTAATTTCCGTAATCCTCATGTGTCATGGGAGAGGCCCAGTGAGAGGTAACTGAATCATGGCGGCAGTTTCCCCCATGCTGTTCTCATGATAGTAAGTGAGTTCTCATGTGATCTGATGGTTTTATAAACATCTGGCATTTCCCTTGCTTGAGGTGATGAATGCCCCATTTACCCTGATGTGATTATTACACATTGCATGCCTGTGTCAAACTATCTCATGTACCCCATAAATATATACACCTACCATGTACTCATATAAATTAAAAATAAAAATAAATTTAAAATAAAAAGTGTGAGTTTTTAAAGGTGAGGTTTGCCCTCCAGCACTGGTGCCTGCCAGGTGTGACCTTCACGTCGTGTTTCCACACGGTCCAGGCCCCCATCTGCAGAGGCCAACAGTTCCCAGAGTGACCTTCCTCAGAAAACAGGGTCTTGGAGGAGACAGTCAGAGGAGGGGGCCTCATCCTCCCCACTGCACAGCCCCTTGTGGGGATTGGAAAGTGAGGGTCTCTGCCCACAAGTTGGCAGTCACCCTAAGCTGTTTTGTGGGAGGAAGCATAGGGAATATAGGTCAGGGCTGGGACAGCATTTCCTGATCCTGACTTGGAGAAGGTGTTAAAGTCTTGACATTCCTGACTCCTCCTTTGTGAGAGCCCCTGCCCTGCAGGTCTCACAGGGTTGTTGTGAGGGTCACCTGTGATGATGGGTTTGGAAGTGCTTTGTGAATGACACAGTGGGCCTTCCTATTCCTGTCACTGGCCTTTCGACCTTCAATACTAATTGCCTGGGGATCTCCAGGCCTCAAGGTCTAATCCTCGAAGGGTATGAGGTGTCCCTAGTGGAATATTCTACACCTCCTGGGAGGTCCCTCACTTCCACCTTCACCCAACATAACCCCTGCTCCTGTTCCCTCAGCCTGGAGAGCTTGCCCAGGAGCACAGCTTAGTACCGGACTGACCTCTTTGGAAAGGGTGATTACATCTTCATTTCAGCTCTCCCCCTTCCTAGCTTTCCACATAGAATTCCAGGGCTCCATGCAGCATTTGCTGGACATGAGGGGGGAAAGTTTTAGGGCAGGGATC